>NC_000001.11:212275496-212427011 GCF_000001405.40 Homo sapiens | reverse complement strand
GGCAACAGCCTACCTGGCTCTCCAGTTTCCCTGATACATAAAACTGCCCCCATTTGTAAACCATTCTGTTTCAGGATTATCTAGTGGCTCATCTTTTAAGTCTGCCCAGCTGGAATAAATTTGCTCCATAACTTGCATGCAAGAATGATCTAGAGGGTCCATAGCCTCAGGCAGATAAGTAGCCAGGCTTAAGGTTTGGCATCCTTTAAGAGTAATATCAGGAGTGTCTAAACAATAAAGCCTGCTACTTTAATAAGCATATCTTGGTTATCTATAGGTGTCCTTTAGCTTCTAGAACCTCTTGTACTTGGTGTGGGGTCAAAAACTCCAGATGTTGCCACAAAGTTAATTTGTTAGCTTCATCTACCAGAATAGCAGTTGCTGCAACTGCTCTGAGACATCTGGGCCATCCTGAAGCTACATGGTATAATTGCTTAGAAAAGTATGCCACCAGTTAAAGGATATCTCCTAGTTTCTGGACAAGAATGCACAGGGCTGTTTGTTGTTTTTCAGCCACGTAAACGAAGACTGGTTTGTCAAGACTGAGGATTCCTAAGGCTGGAGATGTACTCTTAGAGAGTATTAAAAGCGTGTTTATAATTGTTATCCCATTCAGAAGGATCTGAGTCTGCTCCTCATAGAGCCTCATCTAAAGGCTTGGCCATATCCCAAATCTGGGTACCCATAAATGGCAGAATCCTGCCATCCCTAGGAAAGCCCGCAATTGTTTTCTAGTTTGGTGTTCTGGAACACCCAAAATAGCTTCTTTTTGTACCAGGGCTATTGCCCGGGTGCCAGGAGTTAAGATGTATCCCAAATACTTAACTTTTTGAGTTGAAATCTGGGCCTTGGCTTGGCGTAGGGGCTCACACCTGTAATCTCAACACTCTGGGAGGCCGAGGTGGGAGGATCACTTGATTGAGCTCAGGAGTTCAAGACCAGTCTGGGCAACACAGCAAAACCGTCTCTAAAAAAATTTTTTCTTTTTAATTAGCTGGGTGTAGTGGTGTGCACCTGTGGTCCCAGCTACTTGGGAGGCTGAGGTGGGAGGACTGTTTGACCCCAGGAGATGGAGGTTGCATTGAGCTGAGGTCACACCACTGCACTCTAGCCTGGGCGACAGAGCCAAACCCTGTCTCAAAAAAATAAAAAGAAAAGAAATCTAGGCCTTGTACAGCAAGACTCTATATACCCATTAGTTCTCAGAAAATTTAACAGTGAAATGGTGTTATTGTCTGAGTCCCTTTTGGTTGGCTAGCAATAAGCAGATCATTAAGTACTGAATAATGGTGCCCTTATCCAATCATAACATTTTAAATTCTTTAGCCAACGCATTTCCAAATAAATGAGGGGTATCTCCAAACCCCTAGGGAAGAACTGTCCAAGTTAATTGAGAAACTAAATGACTATGTGGGTCAGTCCATTCAAAAGCAAAGATGGATTGTGAATCAGGGTGCACCAAAATACAGAAAAAGGCTTCCTTAAGATCTAAGATTGTAAGCCAATTAGCACCCCCAGGGACCTGGGCTAACAGCCTGTAAGGATTGCATACTATAGGATGTATGAGAACAACAGCCTCATTGACAACCAGGAGGTCTTGAACAAATCTATAGTCTCCACTTGTCTTTTTAACTGACAAGATTGGAGTATTACAGGGAGACTCAGAGTCTCAGCAAACCAAACTGCAGAAACTTATTTATTAATGGCTGGATTCCTCTTTGTGCCTCTGGTCTCAGAGGGTATTGTCTTTTCCAGGGAATATGAGACACCAGGTTTGGTTTAAGTTAAATACAAACTGGAGGGGTATGTAATGCCCTCCCCAGAACTTAAATGTTCCAAACCATAGGATCTATTTGGGAGGTTACTACAACATGCAAGCTAGCTGAATCTCTATTAATTTTTCTCCATTGTCTTGGAGAGAAGTAAAAGCAATTCCTCATCCACCTTGTAATCTCTGAAAGAGTCTACAGTTTGAAGCTGAATTAATACATTTCTTCCCAAAAGAGAGGCAGGGCATTCAGGCATTAAAAGAAAAACATACAAAGCCATGAGACGAGATCGTGCCACTGCACTTCAGCCTGGTGACAGAATGAGACTCTGTCTCAAAAAAAGAAAAAAAAAAAAAAGAAGAGCAGCTTATAGGATGCTAAAACAGCACCTATGAGCTTGTCCATTTATCCCTGTGATCATACAGTCTCGGGATGATAAAGCCTCTTCATAATGTGCCAAAACAGAGCAAGCAGCCCCTGTATAGAGAAGGAAATTAATATTCTTACCTGCCACTTCAAGGGTTACCCCAGGATCCTCCAGATACATGGTTTTGTTGCCCAATGAGAGCTGTGGCAGAAGGTCTTGAGCCCCATCACTCTTGGCCTTCAGCACCTAAACTAAGGATGTCTGAGCAAACCCGAGAGTGAGTGGTGCGCCTCTTCCTAATGGCCAGTTGTCTTACAGCAAGCACATTAATTTATATTCAAGTTGCGGTGATCTGGAAGCCCAGATTGGGGCTTTCTGCCTTCTAGCTTCCCTTGCCAAGGCTGAGAAGTGTAAGGGCAACCCCCATATGTGTGGCAAGCTTAAGGCCACAGCTAAGAGCTGTTCCTTTTGAGAAGCTGTCTTAAGTTTTTCTGCTTTCTCTGTCTTGTCCTTGTTATTAAAAACCATAAATGCCGTGTCCCAAAACTGGTTCATAGTAGTCTGGGGAACCAAGGCTGCTTTTTTTGCAGTTTCCAATGGATATCAAGGGCAGACTGGATTATACAATGTACCCCTAATCAGGTTTGTCCTTTTGAAGTGGGATCAGTGTATTTCCTAATTGCCTCAATTGTCCCTGAAACAAAGCCAGATTCTCATCTTTACCTTGGGTAACTTCCTTCACGTTATCATAATTAACATGTTTTTTCGTACATGTGTTTATCCCTTCTAATAAACAAGTGATCATGTGATCTCTCTTCTCAGTCTTCACTATTCCTTTGATCATTCCATCCTCGATTTTGATCAGGAACTGCAATACCCCCAACCCTGTAGATAGTATGATTAGAATTGTGGGATAGCATTTCATCTGCATGTGTCCTAGCTATTTCCAAAATCCACTGTTTTTCTTCCACTGTACAGCAGGTGGATAACAAAATATGCAAATCCTGCCAGGTTAAATTATGTCAGAGTTAGTTTCTCAAACTCATCTATAAATTTTCCTAGGTCTTCAGAGAAACAACCAAATTTTTCTTTGCATAATGCCAAATCAGACATAGAAAAAGGGACACATACCCTTATAGTGCCCTGTTCCCCATTTACCACTTCTCTAAGCAAAGATTTTCCTTTGAAAGTTGCTAAGAGGCTCCACTATGGGTAATACAGGTGGGGCTGGGTTCCTCAGGGAGTAACGGGTACAGAATAGGACTAAGCATCTCAGAAGGAGGTAGATGTAAAATAGGGCTAGACGGGTAAGGAGGATGAGATGAAGAGGTCTCAACAGAACTACTAGAAGGGCTAGAAGGGACAGGGGCAGATGCACCTGAAGCATTGGAACTGACCAAGGCTTGCATTGAAAGATCATCTAGAATATCTAATTAGTTTTCCTCTTTTATTTTCATTAAATATGCACATGCTTGTTTTAAAGTTTTATCCTGACTAAGCAATAGAAATGTTTGAACATATGGTATTTCACCCCATTTTCCCTCCTGCTTGCAAAACAAATCAAGTTGAAGTATAACTATTAAAGGCTGTAGTTCCATTAGGTGGCCATTTTTCTTGACTTTCCAAATAACATTATTATTATTTGGAATAATAACATTATTATTTGGCCCTATTAGGGCCAAACAATATTACATAAAAATAAACATTTCTTTTTCTTAAGCCCACCTAATTTAAATTGGTCCCAATGCTCTAATATGTACCCTAGTGGTGAGCTTTTTAGGATTAAGGCTGTGTTACCCATGAAGGGAGCAGGTAAAGGTGAAAATAGAGATCATTGTGAATAAGGTTGTACTGCCACTGGCCAAGCTCCACTAAAAAGGATGAAAGAGCTTTCAGAGCCAAATGAGCAAGGGAAAATGATCCTGTGATCACTTTTTTTTTTTTTAATAAAAATAGAGGCGGGGTCTTGCTATGTTGCCCAGGCTGCTCTTGAACTCCTCAGCTCAAATGATCCTCCTGCTTTGGGCTCCCAAAGTGCTAGGATTACAGGTGTGAGCCACTATACCCAGCCCCCATGGTCACTTTAATTCAGCTATTCATATTACCCAAATAATGAGTTGGGCCATTTGCACTAGAGAGACCACAATAGGGGACTTGACAAAGAAATGTCTCATTAAGCAAGGGAAATGACACAGACCCGGGAAGGAATGTCCAGGCTCAGGACAGTGATGGCAAGCAGGGTGAAACTTACATGGTCTTGCTGTCCGTAACCAAGAAGTAAAAGTCATTTGATTAGTGAGCAGATGAAAAGGAACTGCTAAAAACAAATCTCCAATTCCCTATTCTATAGCTGTTTGTCTACATGGGACTGGCATAATTGCTGCCTGGCTCAATCATACACCCTGGAATTTTTCATTTAAAATTTGTAAGTACTGGCTGGGCGCGGTGGCTCACGCCTGTATCCCAGCACTTTGGGAGGCCGAGGTGGGTGGATCACTTGAGGTCAGGAGTTCAAGACCGGCCTGACCAACATGCTGAAACCCCGTCTCTACTAAAAATACAAAAATTAGCCAGGCATGGTGGCACACACCCGTAGTCCCAGCTACTCGGGAGGCTGAGGCATAAGAATCACTCGAACCTGGGGAACGGAGGTTGCAGAGAGCTGAGATCACGCCACTGCACTCCAGCCTGGGCGACAGAGCAAAACTTCATCTCCAAATAAATAAATAAATAAATAAATAAAAATTGGAAGTACCAAGTTTCAATTTTGAGAGAAGGGGAGGCAATAAATAATTCATGTAAATGGGCTACATATAGGGAAAGTAAATCTTGCAGAACCATTCATCCCCAATGTACCTTAACAGGATGCCGGAGCAGACAGGCGAAGAGCCGATAATCTGAAGGCAAATGAGGAAAGTGAAAAGTTAAAAATATCAGGACTGGTCAAGTGAGGCCTGTGAAAAACAGCAGGAAAACACAGCAGTAAAACATAGACAGCAATCAGGAAACTGGCAAGTAGCAGCCTTTAACGAGCAGCCAAGAGTGCAAGGAGGGCTAATCCAAAGGGAGTAATGGTTAATATCTCGTCACACTGAATCCATATCCAGCTATGAGGATGTGGAGGGCCTCCAACCCTTCCTAGTTGGACCTCTAACCAGTTTTAGACAAGTACCCCGTCCTTTACCACTATAAAAATATATTCCACTACTTACCCAAAGTTGGCCAATTGGTGCTGCACAGTGTATTTCCTCTGGGTTGGAGGGTCTCACCTCATTAAGGTTCCAGTGGAGATGCAATGGGAAAATGTTACCAGAAAAGGGGTCTCATCCAAGAACCCAAGAGCAGGTTCTTGGCTCTTGCAGGGAGATAATTCAGGGCAAGTCACAGAGTATAGTAAAGTTTAAATAGTTTATTAGAAACCACTCTATTACAGAGTAGGGCATGCTCAGAAAGCAAGAGGAGGAATGCCTCTACCTTAATGTAACGCTTGCTTACATAGGATATTAGGGCTAAGAATAGTGTACTTTATTATAAAGTCCTGTGATCAGCTTGTGACAGGATATTAGTATTCATGTTCTCTTGTGTAACTATTGATTTCAGCGAGAATTTATGGGTGTACTATTAATAGCATCATTAGAGTAAAACCCATTTTTAAACTAAGAATGCCTTTTTCCATTAACTTGTTTCCTCAGCCCTAGACATCTTGTGATAAAGAGTGCCTAACTTCCTGAGAAAGTCACCCAGCAGTTTTTTTTTTTTTTTTTGGCTTTATATGGCCTTTATTCAAGATGGAGTCATTCTGGTTAGGACACCTGTGACAGAATAAGTTTAAATGTTAATGGAATAACTCTGGCTGAAGCCGGGAGGCTACTGCAATAATCCAGGTGGGAGATGATGGCTGCTTGGACCAGGGTGGTGCCTGGGGATGTGGTGAGAAGTGGTTGACTATGGATATGTTTTGAAGATGTGGTTGATAGAATTTGCTGACAGATGAGACTTGGGATGTAAGAAACAGAGAGGAGTCAGAGGTGAGTTGGAGGTTGTTGCCCTGAGTAACTAGAAAGATGGAATTGCCATTTATTGATATAGGAGTAGGTTTTGGAGGAGAAGATCAAGATCAATTTGGGGCTTGTTCAGTTTGTGATGTGTGTTAGACATCTAACTGAAGGTATCAAATTGGCAATTAAATATACAAGTCTAGAATGAGGGGAGAGTTCTGGGCTGGAGATAGAAATTTTGGAATTCACTGGCATAGGTGTTGTATGTAAAGCCACAGGAATGGCTGAGATCGCCAAGGGAAGTGCATGTGGACAGAGGGGACTGAGCTCCTAACATTTGGTGGTTGGTAGAACTGGCAAAGGAGACCAGAAAAGGGCTCACTGTATGCCAGGTACTGGTTTCAGCACTTTGATGTTTATAAGCTCTTTTAATCCTCACTTTAACTCTGGGACATAACTATTACTATGTCAGGGGACCTTAAGTACCTCACGTAGCTCTCACAGTAGGTGACAGAGCCAAGTCAAGCACAGGCCATGTGTCCTACAGCCTGCCATAACCACCAGGCTATCCTTCCCCCCAGCGACTATACCAAATGTTTATACTTTTACTTATTTAACAGGATGGGTTTCTAGTGCAGAGTGACTTAAACAGGATCTGTGTGCATTAACTTTACTCTGAATCTCAATTTCCACATTAGTAACATGCCAGCCTGCCTCTTTCATAGGACTGTGTTAAAACTAACAATGGTAGTGGAATTGTAAACCTCGAAGTGCAGTATCTACATTACACTGTGTCACAAGATCTCTGGGGATGGAGGAGGCCCTTGAAAACCCCCGAATTGAATATCATCCCCTTCCTGATGCATGTCACGATAACATCCCTATCATACCTTGTACTGCCTCTCTGCTTGGGCCCTTTCTCTTTCTACAGTTCTGTTTGTAAGGAACATCTTTAAGCCAAAAGACCCTTCTAATTTCTACTGATCCCATATAACTCCCCCCTCCCTGAGATGCTGAGGATAAGTCTATACATGAATAACATGCTTATAGGCCCTTGGATTTCTCCAGGCACCCCTCTGATTGTCATTTTCTACTTGAACCCAGACATATTTTTCCAAAGCACTTGGAATCCGTTAGTCACCGGCAAGAAAAATGGAAAGTATTCTTTTTCTTTAAAATTTTATTTTATTTTAAGTTCTGGGATACATGTACAGAATGTTCAGGTTTGTTACATAGGTAAACGTGTGCCATGGTGGTTTGCTGCATCTATCAACCCATCACCTAGGTATTAAGCCCCACATGCATTAGCTATTTATCCTGATGCTCTCTCTCCCAAAATAGAAACCATTCTGGATAGAACAGAATGGCTGAATACAGGGAGCCAGTTACACAGGTGATGAAAGAAGCTGAGACAATAACCCTGAGGCAACCAAGAGTATCAACAGCAGGAAGTCACCATTCCAGCCAATGGAAGGGTAACAGGGGTGTTTATTTATTTTTATGTATCTTTTCTGAGATGAAGTTTTGCTCTTGTTGCCCAGGCTGGGGTGCAGTGGCACAATCTCAGCTCACTGCAACCTCCACCTCCCAGGTTCAAGTGATTCTCCTGCCTCAGCCTCCCGAGTAGCTGGGATTACAGGTGTGCGCCACCACGCCCGGCTAATTCTTTGTATTTTTAGTAGAGACAGGGTTTCTCCATGTTGGTCAGGCTGGCTTCAAACTCCCGACCTCAGGTGATCCACCCGCTTCAGCCTCCCAAAGTGCTGGGATTACAGGCGTGAGCCACCACGCCAGGCAACAGTGGTGTTTATTAGAGTCTAAGGGCCTGAGTCACCTGGCTGAAGCTAGGACCACAAAAAGCCTTTGTATCAGGGGCTGGAGCCATGGAAGGGAAACTGTGAGAGGCAGAGAACAGGGAAAAAAAAGCCCTGGCTTCTCCCTTGCCCTGACTCCTGAAAATGCCTCCTGCTAAGGTATACATGTAAATGATTGCCAGCCATTATTCTAGAGGTCACAAGACATTGCAACTTCCCCAATTACTCCTGCAGATAACGTCACTATCGTAGAACCTCAGCTTGGCTTTTTGAAATGTCTTTTCGGGTTTTTTGCATGTCCGACACTGATGGCTCCACCTGGACCCACCAATCACTCCTGTGGCCCCCACCCAGCAGTGACTAAGTGCACTGGAGGACCATTTCCCACACCCCTGTGATTGCAACCCCAACCAATCAATAGCAAGCACCCACCCCTATCCTATCCCACAAACTACCTTTGAAAACCCCTGGCCCCCAAATGCTTGGGGAGATTGATTTGTGTAATAACTCTGTCTCCCTGTGGCCTCAGTCAGTTAAACTCTTTCTTTACTGCAATGCCATGGTCTCAGTGAATTGATATTGTCTATACAGCAGGCAGGAAGAACCCATCAGGTGGTTACACTACATGCCCCTAGTGGTCCTCTCCACTGACACTGCCTTCTGCTTGGCTTCAGCCTAGGGCCTGTGTACTGTACCTGTGCCTTCTGCCTGTACCCGCACAGACCATCATGTGCTAGTCCCTTCTTGTCATTTAGGTCTCAACTCAAAAGTAACTGCCATCAGGAGGCCTCTCTTGACATCCCCCAGATATATTAGCATCCTACCACCCTGGCCCATGTCTTCCACCTTTTTATAAGGACGAGTCATATTGGACTGAGAGATCACCTTACTCCAATATGACCTCATCCTAGTTACATCTGCAATGACCCTATTTCCATCTAAGGTCACATTCTGAGGTACTGAGGTCTAGGTCCTCAACATATTTTGGGGGAACACAAGTCAATTATAGCAGGAATCTTTAGGGTATAGATGATAATTCAAGCCATGAGGCTAGAGGTGACCACTTCACTAGCCCCTACGGAGTGAATAGAAAGGAGGTGGAAAATCTAGCTTTGGGGCTGGGCGTGGTGGTTCTCGCCTATAATTCCCCCAGCACTTTGGGAGGCTGAGGTAGACAGATCACTTGAGGTCAGGAGATTGAGACCAGCCTGGCCAACATGACGAAACCCCGTCTCTACTAAAAATATGAAAATTTTAGCCAGGCATGGTGGCAGGCACCTGTAATCCCAGCTATTTGGAAGGCTGAGGCAGGAGAATCACTTGAGCCCGGGAGGCAGAGGTTACAGTGAACCAAGATTGCCGCACTGCACTCCACCCTGGGTGACAGAGCGAGACTCCATCTAAAAAAAACCAAAACAACAACAACAAACCTAGCTTTGGGAAAGTCCGCCCTGTAGAGCTGAGATGAGGAGAAGTCAGCAGAGAGGCTGAGAAAGAGCAGTAACTGTAACTGTAATAGGCCTGTTGCCTGATGTGTGCAGCAAGTCAATATGCCAAGACGGAGTTGCAGTAGAAAAAGAGGCTTACCAATAGGGCCTCCAATCGAGGAGATGGAGGGGAACCTCAAACCCTCTCTCAAGGAGTTTGCGGCTTTTCTAAGGGTTTTTAAGGAGTAGGCTGAAGTGTGGAGACTGCTGATTGGCCAAAGGGAACAGGGTGAAATCATTGGACAGAGAGAGAAGCAGCTGTATTCTCATGCTGATTCCATTCCTCTGTTGGTGTCTTCAAACTTGTTGGTGTCAGCTGTTTCACTGGAATTTGTGATCTGAAAAACATTTTAAGCAATTTTTTTTTTTGAGACAGAATTTTGCTATTGTCGCCCAGGCTGGAGTGCAATGGTGTGATCTTGGCTCACTGCAACCTCTGCCTCCCGGGTTCAAGCGATTCTCCTGCCTCAGCCTCCTGAGTAGGGAGGCTAGGGAGGCTGGGATTATAGGTGCCCGCCACCATGCCTGGTTAATTTTTGTATTTTTAGTAAAGATGAAGTTTTACCATGTTGGCCAGGCTGGTCTCGAACTCCTGACCTCAGGCAATCCGCCCGCCTCGGCCTCCTAAAGAGTTGGGATTACAGGCGTGAGCCACTGGGCCTGGCCTTAAACAATTCTTAAGCAAAAGCCTTATGATTCCAATGTCAGAAATCCTACCTGTAGGAGCAGTGGAGATGCAAATGGTCAGTATCTAGTGCTACATGACTTTTGGCTACAAGGAAGTGGGTCAAATTACAGCCTGATTAATGCTTAATTATAACTCTATTTCTGTGCAGAATTCGTGTTAACCCTGTGAGGATGGCTTCAAAGTGAGGTAGGAGCAAGCCGGGAGTGTGTGGTGTCCTGGAAGCCAGGGAGGAACGCGTATCAAGGAGGAGGGAGGATCAGCCAAGTCCACTGTGGCTGATAAATCAAGAAAGAGGAGGATGGGAAAATGGCCATCTGATGTGACAACACTGAGGTCACTTGTGACCTTGACAAGCACTGTTCCAGTGGAGTGGAGGGGAGTAAAGCCTGACTGGTGTGTGCTCATGAAGGAATGGGAGAGAGGACTTGGGGGCTGCAAGGACAGAACATTATTTACATGTTTATGATCTGTCTCTCCACAGTTGCATGAAAGAGCCACGAAAGCCAGGACCCAAGGGTATCTTATCCATTTCTGTATCCCAGTGCCCAGCACATTGTATTTGTTAAGCCATATTTTATATTTTATTAGCCAGTATCTCCTTCAAATGTGGGAGCCCATAATTTTCCAGTTTGGTCACACCAACAAAGACTAGAGAGGAATGACAGGGTTGGAATAGAATTCTCTGGTTCCTTCCAGCTCTAATATTCTATGATGGTGTGAACTTGTTCTATCAAGTACCATTGTATTAACACAGTAAGGAATTTAATTAGTGGTCTGCTATTGTTAATTTGTTTTGGTAAGCAACTGTTAAATGAAATGGCTGGAATCAGTGTTCCATTCATAAATTTAACAAACATTTGTCGAGTGCCTACAATGTGTTAGGCACTATATATATTGTCCCATATAACAGATTTAAGAGCAGAGGGCCTAGGATAGGGGTGAGTGGTCAGGAGAGGTGATGGGGACCTCCCATTGCTAATGCTCCAGGAGGTCCAGGGTTCTTTGATGTGGCTGGCACTATTCTGCTTATCACTGAGGAGAGAAGAGGCTCCCAGTGGCCTGAGTGGAGGGGTTACCAAGCTGCAGCTGCAAGGGACACAGAGCAGCATTCACCAAGGCACAACAAGCAGCCTCTATCTGCTTCACCACTGAGGAGCCGAGGGCCCTCACACAACAGCTGTTTCAGGCAGTGGGAGGAGAGGAAGATGTGGTCTTCAGGTCCACCCTGCCACAGGGCCAACACCAGATTTGACGCCACATCTAGCGCTTGAGGCTTCTTCTGTGGCTGAACAGCGGCTTTAGGCTTTCTCTGCACGATCCTTCCTTTCTGCTTTCATAGGCCTTGTCAGGCAGGGCAGGGTTTAGCAGTTGCATTCTAAGGCGAGGAGAGGAGGGCTCAGAGCATTGCAAGACCTAAAGGGGAGGGTCAGAGCCAGGACAAGAACCTAGGGGTACTCCTGCCCCTGGAATAATGGAGAGAACATGGGCTCCGCAGTCTACCCCTGGATGAAATAATCTTCATTTGATTACCGCTCCACCCGCATCCTTTCTGAAACAAAGTACCTCAGTTTCCTCATTTGTAAATTAGGGAGAAAAATGTCCTTCTTACAGGGTTCCTTGCAGAATCAACGGCATAATGTGAGTGAGAGCGCTTTGTAACTAACATACAAAGTGCTCTCCAGACATTTATTACCGTTTTAAACCGCCAGGCCAAGCTTCCTCTTGCAATTATAGATTAGGGGCTCCTACTCATCTGACTTTGTTCCACTTTCCACTCCTCTTCTCCGTCCCTCCCCCTCCAACAAAGAGAGGAAGTGAGAGACGCAGAGGCACGCGTCTAAGGACCAGCTTAGCTGGCCCAGGGTCACATGCAGGCCTCCGCCACAGGGGTGAGAGCTGGTGTGAGGGGCGCCCCCGCCCAGAACTACATTTCCCATCAACACTTTCGCGACTCCTGGGCGGCAGCGGCCAGGCGCATGCGCCGAGTATCGCCACGCCTGGTCTCTGGGACGCCCCTCCGGACCGGTTTCGCCTCGCGGAGCCGGTAGGTCCAGGTGCAGCGGCCGCAGTGCTGCGTCCGTGCGCCGCGGGCTGGGGCGGTCTCAGGTGTGCCGAAGCTCTGGTCAGTGCCATGATCCGGCAGGAGCGCTCCACATCCTACCAGGAGGTACGAGGTTGTGAGAGACGGAAGGGAAGTTTGAGGCGGAGGAGCAGGGTCCCGGGGGCCTGGGCGGATGCGGGGCGGGGGGTGTCGGGGCTGCGCGGCAGAGGGCTCTTCCGAGGGACCGACGGGTGCGTCAGGGGAGGGCTCCCGGGGTGCAGAGGAGCGGCCCAGGGGCAGGAAGGAAGCGGGGCAGCGGAGCGGGCGCCCAGCGTTCTCCGTATGCTGCGGGTTGCATGGCCGAGGTCCGGAGTAGGGTCCCCGGCGCCGCGACCCGTAACCAGCAGGTGAATGATTGAAGCTACCTGAGGCCCAGCCTTCCGCGCTCCCCGCCGGAGCGGCAGCCCAATGGCCCAGAGGAACCCGGCGTTCTTTGCAACAAGTGGAGCGCCCGCGCCCTCCTCCCGGCGAGATCTGATGCGCGGTCGGCATCGTCGGCATCCTCCCCCTCCAAGCCCAAGGCCTCGCTGTCCCCGCGGCTGGTGACAGGATTGATTACCTGTTTTTTGGTGACCACCTAACTTTGAAAAAGTGCCTTCATGGACTCTGCTAGTTCTCGCTCCTCTTCGTCTCTCCCTCCAGTCTCACCTCCTCCCACGACTTTATCACTTTCCAGTTCTTTGTCTCTTCTCTGTCCTGCGCTGCAGGCTGTGCGTCCAGCGCTTCCTTCAAGCAAGCCCTGCCTCCTCACTTCTCCAGCTGTATTAGTGAAACTGCTCTCCTCCTCCGCCTCCACTTCTCGGCCCCCAAACCTTGGTCATCTTTGGCAACCGTCCTCTTCTGTGCCCCTCCATCGTGCCGCCTCATTGGCCAAAGTCAGGCAGTTCCAGGTCGGTCCTCCTCCAGTTTGTGTCCCTGTGTTTGCTGTAACCTCTGAGTGCGATACTGTGTTACCATCGCTCCCTTTAGTCTCTTATACTCTCCAGATTTGCCTTGAGGCCCTGCCTTCACCTCGGAGCATTCCTTTTTTCTCAGACCTGACGCTGCCCTTCGTCTGCCCAGAACAGTCCAGACTTCTCAGCAGGCTCCCAAAGCTCTGAACAGCACAGCAGCCATGTCTCCCATTACCTTTGCCACCTCCTAACCCACCTAGGGTCTGGCACAGTGGAAACTCAGTTTTAAAATGTGCTCCTGCCTCTGTGCGTGTGCTCACTCCATTCCTTCATCAACGCTCCGCCAAGCTCCATTGGGTAAAATGCCCCCAGAAGTCAAGGGCTACCTCAAGTTCCATGTGTTCCATAGGGGTCCGCTTTCCAGACCCGTCTGCATTTCTGTCTGTCCTTCTCATAATGAACTTGCTGCCTTCTGTCTTAGTCAATAGTTACTGCTGTACATATCTCCCTTTGTAAAAGACTGATTCACAGAAGGGCTTTGTGGACTATATAAAGCAGGTGGCTTAGCCCTACAGTGGAGGGAGAAGCCAACTTGAAGGCAGATGAGATTTGCCTAAGGCTTGCCATTTTTTAGTGTAGGATCTTGGCTGGAATCTGGCCTTGGACAGATTTCTATATTTCTCCTCCCATCCCCTTTATTCCATCTGTTTCCTTTGTCTGAAAGGAGTCTGAGGGATTTTAACCAGTGCTGTGGATTCCATGACCCCTAGATTCTGTACCCTAAACAGTGGGGGAATCCTGGGGAATGAGATGTGTCTGAAAGTTTTTAGGTTTATAGGGTGTGGAGCACAGTGGATAAAAGTCAGAAAGCCCACGTTCGTGCCTGGCTGTGCCTCTTGCTGTTTGTGTGACTTTTATTGAGTCACATAACTTTCTGAGCCTCAGTTTCTTTGTCTGAAAGATGAAGATAATAAAAGTCCCTACCTCCCAGGGTTGTTTGGGGATTAGATAAGTTGGTGTGGAAAGCGCTTGGCTCAGTGTCTGGCAAATGGTGACCCCACAGTGAATGATAGCTCTTGTTAACGGTGTGGGCAGCTCCTGCGTCCAGGATGCTTTGGGGTCCTGGCTTAGCAGGAACATGTGCCTCACCATCCACACATAGCCAGCCTAGCAGGGCTTATAAAATGTTTATTAAAATATAGGCACTTACCCCGCTTGGAGGGCCAAGGCCCAGGGTAGACTCAGTTTCTCTTTGGAGGCATCTCCAAAGTGGGAGGCACTGGAAGGGTGCCCTCCCCTTGCCTTCTTCAGAGGCCTGTTCTGGAGTCCCTGTCTCTCACTTCCTCAGAGAATGGGGCCACCCAGAAAATGGCCGGCGTCTTTCTTCCTGAACCATTCTGTGAGTGTACCTAGCTCTGAGTAGGTTTATTTGCTGAGGGGGGATTTTTCCTTGGGGAGGGTGGGATATACTGAGAATTTGGCCAGGGGCAGGCAAGGAGGCAGGCTCATTATGGCTGTGGGTAGTCAGGAAGGGAACCTGGTGGGAGGGTGTTAGCACCTGGGTCAGGGTGAACCTGAGTGAGGCTTGAATCAGGGAACTTTGAGATTTCCCAGGACTAACATCCTCCTCTCCCTTTGGCCAGTGAGACCTCTTTATCTGTGCTCCTGCTAGTGGCTTATATCTCTTGGTGCCTTCACCAGCCTCCCTGCCCTTTCCCACTGGTTGCTTTTCTTTTCTTTCTTTTTTTTTTTTGAGACTGAGTTTCACTCTTGTCACTCAGACTGGAGTGCAATGGTGCGATCTCGGCTCACTACAACCTCCGCCTCCCGGGTTCAAGAGATTCTCCTGCTTCAACCTCCCAAGTAGCTGGGACTACAGGTGTGCGCTATTATGCCCGGCTAATTTTTGTATTTTTAGTAGAGATGGGGTTTCACCATGTTGACCAGGCAGGTCTCGAACTCCTGACCTCAGGCGATCCGCCCACCTCGGCCTCCCAAAGTGCTGGAATTACAGGCATGAGCCACCGTGTCAGGCCCCGCACCTGGCCTTTTCTTTTGTGCTTCGAGGGCTTTAAACTGGAGATTTTGCCTGATTCTAAGGGGCAGGAGTGGAGTCGTGGAGAGGGAGATAGAAGAATAGATTCGTAAGAGATGTTTTTCACTTGTCTCTTGGAGGTGAGTTTTTAATGAAAATGTCTAGAAACCTTAAAACCTTAAACACTGATGCTGTGAACCTGACAAAGTGCTTGGGAAAGCTGTCCCCTCTCCCTCCCAATTCAGGGATGGCTTCTCTTCTAAGCTCTGGTCTTGAGCTCTCTTGCCCTCCTCCTTAATCCTACAGAGACTTGTTGATTATCATGGTATCCTTTCCGTCCTTCTTCCCTTCTCAGTGGTATAATTTTCCCCATTTGACAGGTGAGACCACTGGTGAAGTGAGGTTGAGGTTGCTGGCTACCAGGCTGCTGATTATAATCAGCACCTATCCCTGTGGTGGACTGCCTGCCCTTCCTGCTGTGTTCTGCCATTTGCAGCCCAAGTCAGTGGACTTCAGCCAGAGTGCCAGAGAGAGCTCTGACACCACCTTCACTGTTCCCTCTTTTCTCTCAGCAGACTCTAAGCCGTATTTCCTCTTCCTTTGGGAAGTGGTTAAGACTATGGGCTTTGGAACTAGACCAACTTGGATTTTACTCCTGCCATATCTTTCCCTGGCTTTATGGCCATGGAAAATATTGTGGGTTGAATTGTGTTTCCTTAAAAAAGATATGTTGAAGTCCTAACCCCAGGTACCTCAGATTGTGACCTTGTTTGGAAATGGGGTCATTGCAGGTGTAATTAGTGAAGATGAGGTCATACAGGAGTAGGGTGGGCCCCTAATCCAACATGGCTGGTGTCCTTCAAGACGATGACCATGTGAAGACACAGAGAGAGCACACCTTGTAAAGATGGCAGCGGAGAGTGGAGATTGGATGCCTCTACGAGCCAACGAACTCCAAGGATTGCTGGCTGTCACCAGAAGCCAGGAGAGAGGCATGGAACAGATTTCCTCACCACTCGTAGAAGAAGGAGCCAACCCTGCCAACACCTCAATTTCAGACTTCTAGCCTCCAGAACTGTGAGAGAAGACATTTCCGTTGTTTTAAGCTGTTCGGTTTGTGGTACTTGCTACAGTAGTCCTAGGAACACAGAGAGCAGAAAGTTTATTGAGCTTTCTGAGCTTCGGTGTCCTCATCTGTAAAATTGCTGTAACACACTCTATGTCATGTGGTTTTTGGTGACAATTAAGTGACAAGCAGCTTCTGCTTTCTTATTCTAGTGTAGAAAAGCAAGGCTGACATAGCTGACTTGTCTTTGCTCTCTTTGCTTCTCCCTTTAGCTGAGTGAGGAGTTGGTCCAGGTGGTTGAGAACTCAGAGCTGGCAGACGAGCAGGACAAGGAGACGGTCAGAGTCCAAGGTCCGGGTATCTTACCAGGTGAGTGCGTTTGGTGCTTTGCTGTGCTGTTGCTGCAGCTGGACACCCCAGTCTAGGCGCCTTGCCAACTGTGGGAGAGGAGGAGCCCCCTTCCCTGCACCCTGGTGTCAGGTCTCAAGTATTGCCCTAGTTTTAAAGCCATACATATTTAACCAGCCTTGGAACAGAGGATATGTCTAGGCTGGTATCTGCTCTTAACTCCAATTTGAGCCACTTCCTGAGGTCAGGTCATTGCATACAATGGCAAATGCTTTGGATCTCTGCTCTTCTGTTCCTCTTTCCCTGGAAACTGCTAGCAGGTGAGCCTCTAATATCCGGGTCAAAGAAGATCTAATAGGCCCCCTCTTTCAGATACTAGGCCTGTCCAGTAATGCTGCTCAGTTGGGTAAGCAGGGTCCCATCAGTCAGTTGGCATCTTATGGAGCCCTACGGCAATGTTTGACACTGCTGACTACTTCTTCCGCCCGGATACACGCTGCTCCCTTAGCTTCTGTGATGCAGCATTTCTCAGGCCACTCCTTCCAGGCTCCATTGCGGTCACTCTCCAGCTCTTGGGCATGAAATGTTGGTTGCAGGCCCCTTTCTCTCACTCTCATAGACAGTTCTACCCAGGCCTGCTCCCTTGCTTCAGCCACTGCTTGCTCACACGTGACTCCCATGTTTACATCTCTAGCCCAGAGGTTACCTACAAACCGCAAATTTATATATCCTGTATTTCCAACTGCCCATGTCATAGTTCTGCTTGGATCTCCCAAAGCTTCCCTCAACTCCACATGTCCAAAATTGACCTCATGATCATCTCAGTCCCAGCTTGGTCCTCTCCCAGTATTTCCTGTTTGCAGGAATGGTACTACCACTTAACGCAGTTGAACTTCAGAGTAGTTCTCCATTCCTTCCTTCCTCTCATCCCCTTTTTCTCTGGCCCTCAGCCATGCTGATCTTTTTTTATTTTAGGCCTCATTCCCTCTCACCACAGGGCCTTTTTGTTGTTTTATTTCTCTGCCTGGAATTCACTTTCCTTCTTCACATAGTTAATGCCTAATCATTCTTCAGCTTTCAGCTCACTCATTTTTTTCCACAGAGCCTTCTCTAACCTTCTGGCCAGATTACCTCCCACCCTCCAGCACCGTCTCATAGTCCACGCGCCTCTCCTTTCCGGCTATTGCTGTTGGAATGGTGCGTTTGTTTGTCTGACTAATGTCTGTCTGTTCTACTACAGCAGTCCCCAACTTTTTGGCACCAGGGACCGGTTTGTGGAAGACAATTTTTCCACAGATGGAGGTTGGGGGATGGTTTCAAGATGAAACTGTTCCACCTCAGATTATCAGACATAGTTAGATTTTCATAAGGAGCACACAACCTAGATCCCTTGTATGTGCAGCTTACAATAGGATTTGCACTCCTATGAGAATCTAATGCTGCAGCTGATCTGACAGGAGGTGGAGCTCAGGTGGTAATGCTCACTCACTGCTCACCTCCTACTGTATTGGCCCAGTTCCTAACAGGCCATGGACCCGTATTGGTCTGTGGCCTGGGGGTTGGGGACCCCTGTTCTACTAGAATGAAACTCCCTGAGGGCAGAGACCAGTCTGTTTTGCTCACCAGCCTAGCCTTGACCACGCCATAAAGATTTGTTGAGTGAATGAATGAAGCCCCAGCCTGACTTCAACTTCTTGGATGGATCCCATCTGTTTGTGGGAGAGGGGAACAAGACAGGAACTAATGTGGTTCTGCCTGCTCCTTACAGAAGACTGCATGGAAGGGACCGGGCACGGTGGCTCATGCCTGTAATGCCAGCACTTTGGGAGGCTGAGGCAGGTGGATCACCTGAGGTCAGGAGTTCAAGACCAGCCTGGCCAACATGGTGAAACCCTGTCTCTACTAAAAAATACAAAAATTAGCCAGGTGTGGTGGCACATGCCTGTAATCTCAGCTACTTGGGAGGCTGAGGCAGGAGAATCGCTTGAACCCAGGAGGCGGAGGTTACAGTGAGACGAGATCATGCCACTGCACTCTAGCCTGGGTGACAAGAGTGAGACTCTGCCTCAAAAAAAAAAATAAAATAAAGTAAAAAAAGACTGCCTGGAAGGAAGGAGGCTGGAAGGGCAGCTAACATTTCCTGACTGCTTCTCCTGTGCCAGGATCTGTCGTACCCCATTTGCCCCATTTAATTCTCACATCAACCCTGTGAAGTGGTTATCCCCCTTTTACAGATGAGGCCCCCAACCTCAGGGAGGTTGAGTAAAGCATGGGGAGGTCATATAGCTGGTAAACACAGACTGAGTCAAACTCTGCCCAACCCTAAACTCTCTCTACTACACCAGTGGTGTTTTCTTTTTTTTTTTTTTTTTGAGATGGAGTCTCACTCTGTCACCCAGGCTGGAGTGCAGTGGCACAGTCTCGGCTCATTGCAACCTCTGCCTCCCAGGTTCAAGTGATTCTCCTGCCTCAGCCTCCCAAGTAGCTGGGACTATAGGCGTGTGCCACCACACCCAGCTACTTTTTTATTTTTAGTAGAGATGGGGTTTCACCATGTTGGCCAGGCTGGTCTCAAACCCATGACCTCAGGTGATCCGCCCACTTCAGCCTCCCAAAGTGCTGGGATTACAGGCGTGGGCCACCGCACCTGGCCTACATCAGTGGTTTATAAAAACTATTTTAAGTGGTGGTAATCCCAACACTTTGGGAGGCCAAGATGGGAGGATCTCTTGAGGCCAGGAGTTTGAGACCAGCCTTAGCAATAAAATGAGATCCTGCCTCTACCAAACAGACAAAAACCAAAAACACTCACACAAAACAATAAGCATTCTTTTATTAAAGCCCAATATGTAAAAGATAGTAGCACGGCTAATCCTCCCTCTGACATGAGGCATTGCCTCTAAAGCCCTAAGGCTCCCGGGAGAACAACTTGAAAGACCTGTATATTAGTTTTCTATTGTTTCTATAACAAATTACCAAAAACTTAGTGGCCTAAAAAAACACAAATTTATTATCTTATAGTTCTGGAGGTCAGGAGTCCAAAATGGATCTCACTGGGCTAAAATTAAGCTGTCAGCAGGCCTGAATTCCTTTCTAGGGGCTTGAGGAGAGAACTTGGTCTTTGCCTTTTCTAGCTTCTGGAGGCCTCCTGCATTCCTTGGCTTGTGGCCCCTTCCTGCAGCTTCAAAACCAGCAGTGGCTCGTCGAGTCTTTCTCACATGACATCACTCTGATGCTGACTCTCCTGCCTCCCTTTTCTGTGTTTAAAGGGCCTTTGTGATCACATCGGGCCCACCCAGGTAACCCAGGATAATCTCCCTGCTTTAAAGTCAGCTGATTAGCAACCTTAGTCCCATTTGCTGCCCTAATTCCCCTTTTCCATGCAACTTGACATATTCACAGGTTCTAAGGATTAACACTTGGACATCTTTGGGAGCCTTTATTCTGCCTACCACACCTTGCACTACCCTCTTGCCCCCAACCAGAAGTGCATAGATGGAGGCAGGAGAAAGAAGAGGAGGGAGGCCAGACTTGGAAAGATGAGGCTTGTCTTTGTGTTTCCTTTCATAGAGAAGTGCCCAGGTAAATCAGGAGGTGGCCCTAATGTCCTTGGACCTTAGCAGCCTCTCTTTTGCCTCAGATTCCTGGGGCTGCAAAGCCTGGGGTCAATCAGAATAGGAAGCCAGGCCTCAGGCAGAGCAAATTTTGGGTAGTTCCATCAACTGGCAAGAGCATTCCCACTTGCTTTGGGGTAGCCTTCCCAGTTGCTTTGGGGGAACCAGATGAGCTGGGCTCATCTCCTTTCTAAATCACAGAAGATTCAGATCTCAGGAGTCCATTTGGCTGGGTCAGTAGTGAGTTGGCTCAAATTTGATGGACTGATACACAACTCTCAGAGCTCATTTCTTGCCTCTGACTCTTCTTTTTTTTTTGAGACAGTCTCCCTGTGTCAACTAGGCTGCAGTGCAGTGGCACGATCTTGGCTCACTGCAACCACCACCTCCTGAGTTCAAGCAGTCCTCATGCCTCAGCCTCTTGAGTAGCTGGATTATAGGCACTTGCAATCATTCCTGGCTAATTTTTGTATTTTTAGTAGAGACGAGGTTTTGCCATGTTGGCCAGGCTGGTCTTGAACTCCTAACCTCAAGTGATCCACCTGCCTCAGCTTCCCAAAGTGCTGGGATTACAGGCGTGAGCCACCATGCTTGGCCCCTTTGAGTCTTCTAATAATAATAATAAAAATAATGGTAATGGTGATAGTGGTTGCCATTTTGGGGGTGCTTTCATGTACTAGGCCTGTGTAGGGCTTTAGGGCTTTTTTTTTTTTTTTTTTTTTTTTTGTGGGGTGGGACCTTGCTTTGTGGACTGGGCTACAGTACAGTGGTGTGATCATGGCTCATTTCAGCCTCCCGAGTAGTTGAGACTACAGACATGCGCCACCATACCTGGCTAATTTTTAAATTATTTTTAGAGACAAGGTCATGCAGTGTTGCCCAGGCTGGTCTCAAACTCCTGGGCTCCAGTGATCCTCCTGCCTTGACCTCCCAAAGTGCTGGAATCACAGGTGCAAGCCATTGCTCTGAGCCTATAGGGCTTTTTATATACACTTTATCCTGTAATCTTCACAGCCACTCTGTGAGGTGAACGGTTAGTCCTAGTTTATAGATGAGGAACCCAAGGCACAGACGTTAAGGAATATGCTCAGAGCTCATGAGTGGCAGGGCTCAAATCCATACCCAGAGCTGTCTCGCAAGGTGTTCTGACTCTGGCTCAGTTGTTCCTAGATGAGAGCTTTCCTGCTCCAAATTCTCCCCTCCCTGTAGCAGATCAATTAAGGACTGCTTCACTTGTTATGCCAAGTGCTGACACCACAAAGAGGGTGAGTAAGTTCCTCCAGGAACTCAGGCATATAGAGACAGAAGGCCGGTTACCCAAGGAAGAACTTGTCCCTCCTTCTGAGCCTTCCTTGACTTCCCTGATGAGGTCCCTTTCTCCCTGTGATATGCTTTCCTTTGTAACAGTTAACACAGTTGATAGGTCACATTTATTGAGTTTAATTATTCAGTTAATTGTTATCCATCCCTTGGCACTGCCCTACAAGTTCTGTGAGGCACACAGATTTTGTCTTCTCCTCCTTTACTGTAACTCCAGTGCCTAGTGTGGAGTGTAGTATGGAAGTATGACTCCATAGAAGTATGAGTACTGTAGGTACTCAGTACCTATTTGTCCTCTGGGGGAGAGCAGTGGAGATTTAGAGCAAGAGAGCCTCTCATCTAGGAGCAACTGAGCTAACTGGAATGAATGAATGAGGGCCAAAGAAATGGTAGAGTCAGGTGCTTCAAAATTAATGAAGGGGCCTGGCGTGGTGGCTCACACCTGAAGGGGCTCACACTGTGGCTCATCCCAGCACTTTGGGAGGCCAAAGCGAGCAGATCATCTGAGGTCAGGAGTTCGAGACCAGCCTGGCCAGCGTGGTGAAACCCCATCTCTACTAAAAATACCAAAAAAACTAGCCGGGGCATGGTGGCAGATGCCTGTAATCCCAGCTACTCAGGAGGCTGAAGCAGGAGAATCACTTGAAGCCGGGAGGCGGAGGTTGCAATGAGCCGAGATTGTGCCACTGCACTCCAGACTGGGTGATAGAGCAAGATTCCATCTCAAAAAATAAAAATACAAATACAAAAATTAGCCAGGAATGATGCACGCCTGTAATCCCAGCTACTTGGAAAAAAAAAAAAAAAAGGAAGGAAGGCTGGCTGGTTTGAGAAAGTGGGACTACTCTGAAGGAAAGGTAACATGTAGGTGAAAAAGAAGGGGCTGGCTAGGGAAGGGAGATGACATGAGCAACTGTATAGAGATGGGAATAAAATAGGACATGTCAGAGATCATGAATAGCATGGTATGGTTGGGGCAGAGGGCTGGTGAGCAAAGTAGAGGGAGATGAGGTAGGAAAGATAGACTTGGTCAGATTATGGAGGGGTCTGAGTGTCAGGGTCTGTACATTATCTAGTAGGGAGCAGGGAGTATTTAAAAGGATTGGGGCTGGGTGCGGTGGCTCATGCCTGTGATCCCAGCACTTTGGGAGGCTGAGGTGGGTGGATCACGAGGTCAGGAGATCGACACCATCCTGGCTAACACGATGAAACCCCGTCTCTACTAAAAATACAAAAAATTAGCCAGGAGTGGTGGTGGGTACCTGTAGTCCCAGCTACTCGGGAGGCTGAGGCAGGAGAATGGCGTGAACCTGGGAGGCAGAGCTTGCAGTGAGCTGAGATCGCGCCACTGTACTCCAGCCTGGGCGACAGAGCGAGACTCTGTCTCAAAAAAATAAATAAATAAAAAATAAAAGGATTGGAACAGGACAGTAAGAGGAGTAAAGTGAGGATTCAGATGAATGTGGCTGGATTAAGGCAAAGGGAGACAACCATGCTGCGGCAAAGGCTGATGTGAGAGGGTGCTTTGCTGTAGCAGAGGGGGAGAAGGAAGAATCAAAGAGGATTCTTAATTTTGAAGCCAGGCAAACGGGAGAATGATACTACATAGAGATGGAGCCTAGAGAGGCAAATGGCTTAGAAAAGAAGATGGCCAGGTGTGGTGGCACGCCTGTAATCCCAGCACTTTGGGAGGCTGAGGCGGGTGAGTCACTTGAGGCCAGGAGTTCAAGACCAGCCTGGGCAATATGGCAAAACTCTGTCTCTACAAAAAACACAAAAATTAGTTGGGCATGATGGCATGCATCTGTAATCCCAGCTACTTGGGAGGCTGAGGTGGAAGAATCGCTTGAGCCCAGGAGGCGGAGGTTGCAGTGAGCTGAGATTGCACTGCTGCACACCAGCCTGGGCGACAGAGTGAGAGACCCTGTCTCAAAAAAGAAAAAAAACCTATTTGTTGTTGGCATACGGTCAGTTGAAGTCGAGATGGCCCAGAGGCAGTGACAGTTACAGGATGGACAGGAGAGAAGGGAGGGCTGGAGTTGTGCAACCTGGAGAAATCCCATGGGGGCAAGGTCACAGGGACAGATGGAAAATGAGCAGGGGGGCCATGAAGACTGAACCTCACAAACATCCCTGTTTGGGGGCCAAAAGAGGAGCTGGGGCTGGAAAAGGAGTTGAATGGAGGGCCTGGAGGTAGGAGCTGCAAGAAAGGAGGACAGTGTAGCAGAGATTCAAGTTAAGCACCCAAACGTGCAGGGTTGTAAATCAGTTTTATTCTCTGGAATACATAATTCCATACCATAATGCACTAAAAGCTTTAGTCTATTCATTTCCTGTCTATCAAGTGAATCAGAACCAATTAGTATTCTGTTCAAAGGGAGAAATGACATCAGACATGCTAATAGAATAAGCACTTTCTTACATCAGAGATGTAATCAAACTGAGGAAAACCCTTGGTTAATTAGTCATTACAATCAGTTCTCCATAGAAACAACTGTATATAATGGGATAGACAAAGAAAAAATTCATAGATTAGACCTTATCAAGATGAAAACCTTGGCTGGGCACGGTTGATCACGCCTGTAATTCCAGCACTTTGGGAGGTCGAGGTGGGTGGATCACCTAAGGTCAGGATTTTGAGACCAGCCTGACCAACATAGTGAAACTCCACCTCTACTAAAAATGCAAAGTTAGCCAGGCATGGTGGCTCATGCCTGTAATTCCAGCTACTCAGAAGGCTGAGGCAGGAGAATTGCTTGAACCTAGGAGGCGGAGGTTGTAGTGAGCCAAGATCGTGCTGTTGCACTCCAGCCTGGGTGACAGAGTGAGACTCCATTCCCGTCCCCCTCAAAAGAAGACCTTTTGTGTATCAAAGGACACTATCAAGAAAGTGAAAAGACAGCCCACAGAATGGGAAAAAGTATTTGCAAATCATACACCTGATAAGGGACTGGTATTTAGAATATATAAAGAACACCTACAATTCAACAATAAAGACAAATAACTCAGTTTAAAAATGGGCAAAGAATCTGAATAGACATTTTTCCAAAGAAGATATACAAATGACTAGTAAGCACATGAAATAATGCCAACATCATTAGTCATCAAGGAAATGCAACTCTAAATCACGATGAGATAGCACTTCACACCCACTAGGATGGTTATAATTTTTAAAAAGTGGATAATAAGTTTTGGCAAGGATGTAGAGAGATTGGAACCCCCATACGTTGCTGATAGGAATGTAAAATGGTGCAGCTGCTGTGGAAAATAGTCTGACAGTTCCTCAAAAGGTTAACTACAGAGTTACCATATGGGCCAGCAATTCCATTCCTAGGTGTATATTCGTGAGAAATGAAAACTTACGTCCACATGAAAACTTACATCTCCAAAAAATGTGTACATGAATATTCATAGCAGCTTTATTTGTAATAGTCAAAAAGTGGAAATAAGCCAAATGACTATCAACTGATGAATGGATAAGTAAAATGGTACATTCACACAATAGAATATTATTTGACAATAAAAGAATGAGGAACTGGCTGGGTGCGGTGGCTCATGCCTGTAGTCCCAGCACTTTGGGAGGCCAAGGCGGGTGGATCACTTGAGGTCAGGAGTTCAAGACCAGTCTGACCAACATGGTGCAACCCCGTCTCTAACAAAAATATGAAAAATTAGCCAGGTATGGTGGTGCACACCTGTAATCCCAGTTACTTGGGAGGCTGAGGCAGGAGAATCACTTGAACCCGGGAGGTGGAGGTTGCAGTGAGCCAAGATGGTGCCACTGCACTCCAGCCTGGGTGACAGAGGGAGACTCTGTCTCAAAAAAAAAAAAAAAAGGAACTGATGCATGCTGTAACTTGGATAAATTTTTTTTTTTTTTTTTTTTTTTGAGACAAGAGTCTCTGTTGCCCAGGCTGGAGTGCAGTGGCGCCGTCTCGGCTCATTGCAACCTCTGCCTCCTGGGTTCAAGTGATTCTCCTGCCTCAGCCTCTCGAGTGGCTGGGATTACAAGCATGTGCCACCACAACCAGCTACTTTTTGTATTTTTAGTAGAGACGAGGTTTTGCCATGTTGGCCAGGCTGTTCTCGAACTCCTGACCTCAGGTGATCCTCCCACCTCAGAGTCCCAAAGTGTTGGGATTACAGGTGTGAGCCACCGCGCCTAGCTGTATCTCGAAAACATAGTGAGAGAAGTCAGACACAGCCACATATATGATGCCCTTTATGTGAAATGTTCAGAACAGGCAAATCCATAGGGACAGAAATTAGATTAGTGGTTGCCAGGAAAGGGGAAGTAACCACTCTTGGGTATGGAGTTTCTTTTTGGGTAATGAAAATTTTCTGTAGATAGTGGTGGTGGTTATACATCTTGTGAATATACAAAAAACTGCTGAATATATTTACTTTAAAAGGGTAAATTGTATGGTATGTAAATTATATCTAAAAAAGAGAAACAAAATTGACCACACTAAACAGAAAAAAAAGGTAGGCAAAAAATTCAGAATGCCTCTTAGCCTAGTGCTCCCTGCAAGGTGGAGTTTCACAGGATTATGGCAGACAACCAAGCCCCCTTCCTCTAAATAGAGGTTCCATGATATTTTCAGTAACTGAATTGCCCATCACAGATCCCCTTAGTGGATGAACTTGCATTCTGGGGCAAGTTTGGGGTTTTGAAGGAATTCTGTCTTGAATTTTACAAAGCATATAAACTACCTTTCCCAGGAACATCTTGTGCATTATTTTTGTCTTCCTACTACCCTGAGTTTGCATTCATTTAAAGGATGATACTTTTAAAGCACATTCATCCAGTTTGCCACAAAAAGCCAGTGTTAGTTTTCTCACTACATAGTGCGTGGGACATTTTATCAAATAACCAGCACTGTTTTTTTTTTATGATAAAGTATAATGGTGTCTAGTTTTGGAATTGGAGTGTTACTTATAGCAAGTGTGGAGGATAAGTAAATAGTTTTACAGTTTTTATTTAGATCACACTCCTATTTGTGGATCAAGAAGAGGCCTGTAAAGAAGCTAAACTTGGCTTCTGTGAGTAAAACAGAAGAGAAGGCTTTTGGTCAATGTTCCCATGCAAGTAATTTGTTCCAAGTACCTCTCCCAGATGAATTGCAGTGATAGAATTGGCATGTGATCTTCTTGTTTTATGCCTATTTTTAGAATTTTCAGGAACATGTAGGGAGAACTTCATCTCTTTCCTTAACCAAGGCCATCATGAAGGCAAAACATTTCAAATCATGTTTATCTGGCTTAATGCAGAGTGGACACACCTGTCCACAGATGCCAGTCATCGTTCGTCTTTATTATATTGTTCAGCCTGGATGTAGTATAGAGTTTGTCTTAGAAGTTTTCTGGGCCAGGTGCAGTGGCTCATCCCTGTAATCCCAGCACTTTGGGAGGCTGAGGTGGGCAGATCACCTGAGGTCAGGAGTTTGAGACCAGCCTGGCTAACATGGTGAAAGCCCGTTTCTACTAAATATATAAAAAATTAGCCAGGTGTGGTGGCGCACACCTGTAATTCCAGCTACTTGGGAGGCTGAGGCAGGAGAATCACTGGACCCCAGGAGGCGGAGGTTGCGGTGAACCAAGATTGCACCATTGCACTCTAGCTTGGGCAACAAGAGTGAAACTCCGTCTCAAAAAAAAAAGTTTTCCAGGTCAGGTACAGTGGCTCACGCCTGTAATCCCAGCATTTTAGGAGGCCGAGGCGGGTGGATTGCTTGAGTACAGGAGTTCTAGACCAGCCTAGGTGACATGGTGAAACCCCATCTCTACAATAAATAACAAAAATTAGCTGGGCATGGTGGCATGTGCCTGTAGTCCCAGCTACTCAGGAGGCTGAGATGGGAGGATTGATTGAGCCTGGGAGGTGGAGGTTGCAGTGAGCCAAAAATCATGCCACTGCGCTCCAGCCTGAGTGACAGAGTGAGACCCCACTTGAGTCCAGGAGTTCAAGGCTGCAGTGAGCTATGATCACACCAGCGCACTCCAGCCTGAGTGACAGAGTGAGACCGTGTCTCTTAAAAAAAAAAAAAGTGTTTCAGACTTCTCTACTTGTTACGAAGTTATATTCTTTCAATTACATCTTTTATTATTAATGACTGTAATTGTAAAAATGCTCACAGTTGTGTAGGGAAAGAGCATTGGGCTAGGAGTCAGGACTCTTAAGACTCTCTCATTCTGATTGTGCCAGTTACTGGCTGTGGGATCTGGATTGTTGTACAAAGAGTAGAGTTAGGCCAGATGGCCTTTTAGGTCCCTGTCAACTCTTAAAAATTAGATTCAGATGTTATGCAACAAATCAGTCACTTCAGAGTTCCTTCAGTTTTATCTTGTGATCTTTTCAAACCCCGTTAGAATGTAGTAAGCTGGTACTCATTGCCACTGCAGTTATGAGCAGCTCATGACAGTGAATGTATTTTCACCCATCAGGTTTTGAAGGATACCCATGGTCC
The DNA here is from genome assembly GCF_000001405.40 of Homo sapiens. NCBI lineage: Eukaryota > Metazoa > Chordata > Mammalia > Primates > Hominidae > Homo > Homo sapiens. The sequence continues at coordinate 212,399,044 of NC_000001.11, read as the reverse complement.
CATTTGGACCATGGGAGTTGGTTGTACCTTCCAAGCTAAATAGCTGTGGGTAGGTTCCTGTGCATAGATCCTGTGGCCCTGCAGCCCAGCTACAGCTGACTGCTCAGGGGTCAGCACCCAAGAAAGGGAAGCCATCTATAGGCTGGGCTTGAAGGAGGTCAGTGTCTTGTGAGGTATCTGGTGGAACACCCTATACAGGATACTTTCTCGGGGAGAATTTGAGTGCAAGACTCACGGAGAAGGACTTAGTAAAGTGGAGCAGGGTCAAGAGAGAAACATGGAGAGAAGGCAGATAGCAAAGCCATGAAGGAGCAGAAATTGACACAGTGTCTATTAGCAATAGGTAGAGGCAAAAGTGAAATCAAACACAAAAGAGGCTGAGATGAGAAAGAATTGCCTTAATTCCTTTTGGACAACTAGAGCTGCTGTGGACCTTGGTGGCTTAGCTCTCAGCTACCCATTGGGTTTCCCCAGTTCTCACTTATCCTCGTACCTGTAGAGTAAACCTCCACTGCCCACAGTAACCTGTTCCTTAAAACCTAAAGGGGCCTCACTGACAGTTCTGGAAATTTGCATTTCTGTGTAAAGTGAAAACCTTCTAAAGTATTTTGCCAAAAAACAGCAAGGAACATTCACTGGTTTATAGTTTTACATGCTTGATTGCACTAATATTCTCTGATGGATTGAGTTAGCATGGCAAGACTTAGTTCATCTATTATTTAGGTTATTTATTCATTCGACAAACATGGAAACATTACATTCCTACTATGTGAAAGATACTATATTCTGCCCTGCCTCCATTTTATTTTCAATGTATATCTTTTCAGATTTATTTTTCAAAAGAGATTATAGTTCTATGATCTTTATTTTTGCTATTTTCATAAATGAGCACTTCATTTTTTGAAGGGTAGAGGGTACATTCTGTTTCTTTGGTACCAGTAATTGTTACCATTGAGCAGGCACTGTGTAATGCATTTTGCAGCGTTCTGTCATCTGCTTCTCTCAAAAATCCTGTAAAATGGAAATGATTATTTTCTTTTTACATGAAAAATGTAAGGCTTTAGGAGCACTGAGTAACTTGTCTAGGATCATGGAGTAGTTAGTAGCAAAGCTGCAGCTGGAGCTCAAAACTCTGACTCTAAAGCTCATGCTCGTAACCACTGCACAGTATATCTGCTCTTTCAGTCAGAAAATAAATGAATAATGGAAACCAAATTATTTCTTCCTTAAAATTCTCCTTGTGGTTTAGGTGCAGAACTAACATGACCCCCTCCACAGAGTCTTTGCTGATAACTGCCCTTCTCCCTGTGCTTCCCATTCTTCCTGCAGTTGAAGGAAACCTCATGTTTTATATCCTTATATGTTTCTGAATTCTGTAGCACTTTGGATTAGAGACCATCAGTCCTCCATTTGATATCTCCCTGAAGCACCTAGTACAAAATCATGCATGTAGAGTTGGTGCTTGATCTTGTAGAAGTAAAGAATGAATTATTTCCTTGTCTTTACCAACCCAGGAGACTTTGATAGTTCTGTGCTGAGCCTGCTTTTGTGCTTTAAATAAAGTAAAATTAAATAATTATGAGCAGATATTCTTTTGTGTCTTTGTATTTGAAATCTGCTATCAAAGCATATGGTTGGGTTTTATTCTTAATCCAGACTGACAGTCTCTGCTTTTTAATTGGACGGTTTAGTCCATTTACATTTGATGTGATTATTGATATGGCTGGATTTGGCTCTACCATTTTGCTGTTTTCTACTTGTCTTGCTGGGTTTTTTTGTTTGTTTCTCTGTTTTTTCTTTCTTGCAAGTTATAAACCTTACCATATTGTTGAGTAATTTCTGCTGTAGGCAGTCTTAATTTTTTTTAAGTAGCTTTTTGTTTTACTCACTTATTTAACATTTTCAGTGCTCTTTACATCTGAGAGTTACCATCTAGTGTCAATTCCTTTTAGCTTTCAGAATTTTTCTTAGCATGCAGTTTAGTGCAGGTCTGCTAGTGATGAATTCTCTCAGCCATTGTGTTTCAAAATATCTTTATTTCATCTTCATTTTTGAAGTTTTGCTGGATAGAGAATTATACTGGTAGACAAAAAATTTTTTTTCTTTCAGCATTTGAAGATGTTCCATTGTCTTCTGGCCTCCATTGTTTCTGTTCAGAAATTAGTTGTCGTTAATATCAGTGCTCTATATGTAATAGATAGATAGATAGATAGATAGATAGATAGATAGATAGATAGATAGATAGATATTTTTTTCCCTCACTGCCTTCAAGATTTTTCTCTTTTCTTTACATTAGCACTTTGATTATTATTTGCCTCGGGATGGTTTTTTTTTTTTTTTTTTAAGTTATCCTGGTTGGCGTTTATTGAGCTTCTTGGATCTGTAAGTTGTTGTCTTTCTCCAGTTTTGGGCCATTTTTTTTTCAGATTTCTTTTTTTTCAATATGTATATGTATATTTTTATTATACTTTAAGTTCTAGGGTACATGTGCGCAATGCAGGTTTGTTACATATGTATACATGTGCCATGTTGGTGTGCTGCACCAATTAACTCGTCATTTACATTAGGTATATCTCCTAATGCTATCCCTACCCCTTCCCCCACCCCACAACAGGCCCCGGTGTGTGATGTTCCCCTTCCTGTGTCCGAGTGTTCTCATTGTTCAGTTCCCACCTATGAGTGAGAACATGCAGTGTTTGGTTTTTTGTCCTTGTGATAGTTTGCTGAGAATGATGGTTTCCAGCTTCAGCCGTGTCCCTACAAAGGACATGAACTCATCCTTTTTTATGGCTGCATAGTATGCCATGGTGTATATGTGCCACATTTTCTTAATCCAGTCTATCATTGTTGGACATTTGGCTTGGTTCCAAGTCTTTGCTATAGTGAGTAGTGCTGCAATAAACATATGTTTGCGTGTGTCTTTATAGCAGCATGATTTACATTCCTTTGGGTATATACCCAGTAATGGGATGGCTGGGTCAAATGGTATTTCTAGTTCTAGATCCCTCAGGAATTGCCACACTGTCTTCCACAACGGTTGAACTAGTTTACAGTCCCACCAACAGTGTAAAAGTGTTCCTATTTCTCCACATCCTCTCCAGCACCTGTTGTTTCCTGAATTTTTAATGATCGCCATTCTAACTGGTGTGAGATGGTATCTCATTGTGGTTTTGATTTGCATTTCTCTGATGGCCAGTGATGATGAGCATTTTTTCATGTGTCTGTTGGCTGCATAAATGTCTTCTTTTGAGAAGTATCCATTCATATCCTTCACTCACTTGTTGATGGGGTTGTTTTTTTTTTCTTGTAAATGTGTTGGAGTTCTTTGTAGATTCTGGATATTAGCCCTTTGTCAGATGAGTAGATTGCAAAAATTTTCTCCCATTCTGTAGGTTGCCTGTTAACTCTGATGGTAGTTTCTTTTGCTGTGCAGAAGCTCTTTAGTTTAATTAGGCCCCATTTGTCAATTTTGGCTTTTGTTGCTATTGCTTTTGGTGTTTTAGACATGAAGTCCTTGCCCATGCCTATGTCCTGAATGGTATTGCCTAGGTTTTCTTCTAGGGTTTTTATGGTTTTAGGTCTGACATTTAAGTCTTTAATCCATCTTGAATTAATTTTTGTATACAGTGTAAGGAAGGGATCCAGTTTCAGCTTTCTACATATGGCTAGCCAGTTTTCCCAGCATCGTTTGTTAAATAGGGAATCCTTTCCCCATTGCTTGTTTTTGTCAGGTTTGTCAAAGATCAGATAGTTGTAGATGTGCGGTATTATTTCTGAGGGCTCTGTTCTGTTCCATTGGTCTATATCTCTGTTTTGGTACCAGTACCATGCTGTTTTGGTTACTGTTGCTTTGTAGTATAGTTTGAAGTCAGGTAGCGTGATGCCTCCAGCTTTGTTCTTTTGGCTTAGGATTGACTTGGCAATGCGGGCTCTTTTTTGGTTCCATATGAACTTTAAAGTAGTTTTTTCCAATTCTGTGAAGAAAGTCATTGGTAGCTTGATGGGGATGGCATTGAATCTATAAATTACCTTGGGCAGTATGGCCATGTTCATGATATTGATTCTTCCTATCCATGAGCATGGAATGTTCTTCCATTTGTTTGTGTCCTCTTTTATTTCATTGAGCAGTGGTTTGTAGTTCTCCTTGAAGAGGTCCTTCACATCCCTTGTAAGTTGGATTCCTAGGTATTTTATTCTCTTTAAAGCTATTGTGAATGGGAGTTCACTCATGATTTGGCTCTCTGTTTGTCTGTTGTTGGTGTATAAGAATGCTTGTGATTTTTGCACACTGATTTTGTATCCTGAGACTTTGCTGAAGTTGCTTATCAGCTTAAGGAGATTTTGGGCTGAGACGATGGGGTTTTCTAGATATACAGTCATGTCATCTGCAAACAGGGACAATTTGACTTCCTCTTTTCCTCATTGAATACCCTTTATTTCCTTCTCCTGCCTGATTGCCCTGGCCAGAACTTCCAACACTATGTTGAATAGGAGTGGTGAGAGAGGGCATCCCTGTCTTGTGCCAGTTTTCAAAGGGAATGCTTCCAGTTTTTGCCCATTCAGTATGATATTGGCTGTAGGTTTGTCATAAATAGCTCTTGTTATTTTTAGATACGTCCCATCAATACCTAATTTATTGGTGTTTTTAGCATGAAGGGCTGTTGAATTTTGTCAAAGGCCTTTTCTGCATCTATTGAGATAATCATGTGGTTTTTGTCTTTGGTTTTGTTTATATGCAGATTATGTTTATTGATTTGCATATGTTGAACCAGCCTTGCATCCCAGGGATGAAGCCCACTTGATCATGGTGGATAAGCTTTTTGATGTGCTGCTGGATTCGGTTTGCCAGTGTTTTATTGAGGATTTTTGCGTCGATGTTCATCAGGGATATTGGTCTAAAATTCTCTTTTGTTGTTGTGTCTCTGCCAGGCTTTGGTATCAGGATGATGCTGGCCTCATAAAATGAGTTAGGGAGGATTCCCTCTTTTTCTATTGATTGGAATAGTTTCAGAAGGAATGGTACCAGCTCCTCCTTGTACCTCTGGTAGAATTCGGCTGTGAATCCATCTGGTCCTGGACTTTTTTTGGTTGGTAAGCTATTAATTATTGCCTCAATTTCAGAGCCTGTTATTGGTCTATTCAGAGATTCAACTTCTTCCTGGTTTAGTCTTGGGAGGGTGTATGTGTCGAGGAATTTATCCATTTCTTCTAGATTTTCTAGTTTATTTGCGTAGAGGTGTTTATAGTATTCTCTGATGGTAGTTTGTATTTCTGTGAGATCGGTGGTGATATCCCCTTTATCATTTTTTATTGTGTCTATTTGATTCTTCTCTCTTTTCTTCCTTATTAGTCTTGCTAGCTGTCTATCAATTTTGTTGATCTTTTCAAAAAACCAGCTCCTGGATTCATTGATATTTTGAAGCGTTTTTTGTGTCTCAGTCTCCTTCAGTTCTGCTCTGATCTTAGTTATTTCTTGCCTTCTACCAGCTTTTGGATGTGTTTGCTCTTGCTTCTCTAGTTCTTTTAATTGTGATGTCAGTATGTCAATTTTAGGTCTTTCCTGCTTTCTCTTGTGGGCATTTAGTGCTATAAATTTCCCTCTACACACTGCTTTAAATGTGTCCCAGAGATTCTGGTATGTTGTGTCTTTCTTCTCATTGGTTTCAAAGAACATCTTTATTTCTGCCTTCATTTCCTTATGTACCCAGTAGTCATTCAGGAGCAGGTTGTTCAGTTTCCATGTAGTTGAGGGGTTTTGAGTGAGTTTCTTAATCCTGAGTTCTAGTTTGATTGCACTGTGGTCTGAGAGTCAGTTTGTTATAATTTCTGTTCTTTTTCATTTGCTGAGGAGAGCTTTACTTCCAACTATGTGGTCAATTTTGGAATAGGTGTGGTGTGGTGCTGAGAAGAATGTATATTCTGTTGATTTGGGGTGGAGAGTTCTGTAGATGTCTGTTAGATCTGCTTGGTGCAGAGCTGAATTCAATTCCTGGATATCCTTGTTAACTTTCTGTCTTGTTGATCTGTCTAATGTTGACAGTGGGGTGTTAAAGTCTCCCATTATTATTGTGTGGGAGTCTAAGTCTCTTTGTAGGTCACTAAGGACTTGCTTTATGAATCTGGGTGCTCCTGTATTGGGTGCATATATATTTAGGATAGTTAGCTCTTCTTGTTGAATTGATCCCTTTACCATTATGTAATGGCCTTCTTTGTCTCTTTTGATCTTTGTTGGTTTAAAGTCTGTTTTATCAGAGACTAGGATTGCAACCCCTGCCTTTTTTTGTTTTCCATTTGCTTGGTAGATCTTCCTCCATCCCTTTATTTTGAGCCTATGTGTGTCTCTGCACGTGAGATGGGTTTCCTGAATACAGCACACTGATGGGTCTTGACTATCCAATTTGCCAGTCTGTCTTTTAATTGGAGCATTTAGCCCATTTACATTTAAGGTTAATATTGTTATGTGTGAATTTGATCCTGTCATTATGATGTTAGCTGGTTATTTTGCTCATTAGTTGATGTAGTTTCTTCCTAGCATTGATGGTCTTTACAATTTAGCATGTTTTTGCAGTGGCTGGTACCAGTTGTTCGTTTCCATGTTTAGTGCTTCCTTCAGGAGCTCTTTTAGGGCAGGCCTGGTGGTGATAAAATCTCTCAGCATTTGCTTGTCTGTAAAGTATTTTATTTCTCCTTCACTTATGAAGCTTAGTTTGGCTGGATATGAAATTCTGGGTTGAAAATTCTTTTCTTTAAGAATGTTGAATATTGGCCCCCACTCTTCTGGCTTGTAGAGTTTCTGCTGAGAGATCAGCTGTTAGTCTGATGGGCTTCCCTTTGTGGGTAACCCGACCTTTCTCTCTGGTTGCCCTTAACATTTTTTCCTTCATTTCAACTTTGGTGAATCTGACAATTATGTGTCTGAGAGTTGCTCTTCTCGAGGAGTATCTTTGTGGCATTCTCTGTATTTCCTGAATTTGAATGTTGGCCTGCCTTGCTTGGTTGGGGAAGTTCTCCTGGATAATATCCTGCAGAGTGTTTTCCAACTTGGTTCCATTCTCCCCGTCACTTTCAGGTACACCAATCAGACGTAGATTTGGTCTTTTCACATAGTCCCATATTTCTTGGAGGCTTTGTTCGTTTTTTTAAATTCTTTTTTTCTCTAAACTTCTCTTCTCGCTTCATTTCATTCATTTGATCTTCCATCACTGATACCCTTTCTTCCAGTTGGTTGAATCGGCTACTGAAGCTTGTGCATTCATCATGTAGTTCTCATGCCATGGGTTTCAGCTCCATCAGGTCCTTTAAGGACTTCTCTGCATTGGTTATTCTAGTTAGCCATTCGTCTAATCTTTTTTCAAGGTTTTTAACTTCTTTGCGTTGGGTTTGAACTTCCTCCTTTAGCTTGGAGAAGTTTGATCGTCTGAAGACTTCTTCTCTCAACACATCAAAGTCATTCTCTGTCCAGCTTTGTTCCGTTGCTGGTGAGGAGCTGCGTTCCTTTGGAGGAGGAGAGGCACTCTGATTTTTAGAATTTTCAGTTTTTCTGTTCTGTTTTTTTCCCCATCTTTGTGGTTTTATTTACCTTTGGTCTTTGATGATAGTGATGTACAGATGGGGTTTTGGTGTGGATGTCCTTTCTGTTTGTTAGTTTTCCTTCTAACAGTCAGGACTCTCAGCTGCAGGTCTGTTGGAGTTTGCTGGAGGTGCACTCCAGACCCTGTTTGCCTGGGTATCAGCAGCGGAGGCTGCAGAACAGCGAATATTGATGAACAGCCAATGTTGCTGTCTGATCGTTCCTCTGGAGGTTTTGTCTCAGAAGGGTACCTGGCCGTGTGAGATGTCAGTCTGCCCCTACTTGGGGGTGCCTCCCAGATAGGCTACTCAGGGTTCAGGGACCCACTTGAGGAGGCAGTCTGTCTGTTCTCAGATCTCAAACCCTGTGCTAGGAGAACCACTACTCTCTTCAAAGCTGTCAGACAGGGACATTTAAATCTACAGAGGTTTCTGCTGCCTTTTGTTCGGCTATGCCCTGCCCCCAGAGGTGGAGCCTACAGAGGCAGGCAGGCCTCCTTGAGCTGCGGTGGGCTCCACCCAGTTCGAGCTTCCCGGCCGCTTTGTTTACCTACTCAAGCCTCAGCCATGGCAGGTGCCCCTCCCCCAGCCTCACTGCCGCCTTGCAGTTGGATCTCAGACTGCTGTGCTAGCAATGAGCGAGGCTCCGTGGGTGTGGGACCCTCTGAGCCAGGCGCGGGATATAATCTCCTGGTGTGCCATTTGCTAAGACCATTGGAAAAGCACGGTATTAGGGTGGGAGTGGCCCGATTTTCCAGGTGCCATCTGTCACAGCTTTGCTTGGCTATGAAAGGGAATTCCCTGACCCTTTCTGCTTCCCGGGTGAGGCGATGCCTCACCCTGCTTCAGCTCACACTCGGTGCGCTGCACCCACTGTCCTGCACCCACTGTATGACAAGCCCCAGTGATACGAACCCAGTACCTCAGTTGGAAATGCAGAAATCACCCATCTTCTGCATCTCTCTCGCTGGGAGCTGTAGACTGGAGCTGTTCCTATTCAGCCATCTTAGAACCCAATATCAATAGTCTTTTTTTTTTTTTTTTTTCTTTTTGAGATGGAGTTTTGCTCTTGTTTCCTAGGCTGGAGTGCAATGGCGTGATCTCAACTCACTGCAACCTCCGCCTCCCGGGTTCAAGCGATTCTCCTGCCTCAGCCTCCTGAGTAGCTGGGATTATAGGCATGCACCACCACGCCCAGCTCATTTTTGTATTTTTAGTAGAGACGGGGTTTCACCACATTGGCCAGGATGGTTTCGATCTCTTGACCTTGTGATCCGCCTGCCTCAGCCTCCCAAAGTGCTGGGATTACAGGGGTGAACCACCACACCCCCGGCCTCAGATATTTTTTGTGACCCATTTTCTGTCTCCAGTTACATGTCACTACACTGCTAGATACTGTAACAATTTTCCGGGCTCCATTTGGTTTTTTTTTTCCTTCAATATTTTCTTCAAATTGGATAGTTTCTGTTGATTTAACTTTGAGTTCACAAACTCTTTCTCTGCCATCTTTTGCTATTAAGCCTATACAGTGAACTTTTTATTTCATTTATTTCTTGTCAGATCTGGAATTTCCATCTGTTTTTTTAAATTTTATGAAACATTTTTACAGTGGTTAGATACACGTAATGTAAAACTCATCATCTTACTCATTAAAATGTAGAGTTCAGTGATATTAAGCACTTTCATATTGCTGTGCAACCATCACCACCATCCATCTCCACAATGCTTTTTCATCCTGCAAAACTGAAATTCTATATATTTGGCCATTGTTATTAGTTTCTGTTTCTCTATTGATCTTGTCTTTATTCCTTATTCAGATATTTTCCTTTAAGTGCTGTAAATTTTCTCTCTGCTAAATTGCAACACTGGGTCATCTTGGTGTTGGTTTCTATAGATTGCTTTTTTCTTGAGTACAGGTCACATTTTCTTGTTTCTTAGCATGTCTAGTGATTTTTGATTGAACACTGGACATTATGAATGATATAGAGATTCTGGATTCTGTTATGATCTTCAGAAGGGTATTTTTTTTTCTTGGCATATTGTTAATATGGCAAGATTTAAGCTCTAAACTCCTATCTCCCCTGCATTAGCCGTAGTTGAAATCTCCATGCAGTTCTTTCAATTTCCAGTTGTTACTTTTTGCTGGCCCCCCCTGGGTTCTCCAGCCAAGGATCTGAACATATATTTAGTTGCAGATTTGGGAGTTTCACCCCCTGTGTGGCTCCCTCCCTTTCATGGTTTTGTCTTAACTTTCTGGCTGCTCTTCCAGCCCTGAACTTTGTCCCTGTCACTCTGAACCATGCCTTATAGGGATTGGCATGTATTCTTAGGCAAAAAGCTACAGATGTATAAATCTCACCAAGTACAGTTCTTCTCTTTCAAGGGTAGCCTCTCTTTCAATTTCTACCTGCTTTTGATCATTCTCCCAGTGCCTTCAAATAATTTAAAATATGTTGTCCAAAGTTTATAATTGTTTTCTGTGGAAGGGTGATGTGACACTGCTACTCTGTCACTGTTGGAAGCCAGATGCCAAGCAGATACCTTTTGGGGCTTACGTTCAGATGCTTCCCTTGTTCTCAGCCTTGTGCTCAGCTGGGCTGTGGAGGAAATAGGACTTCTTCTCAGGGAGCTCCATTTTCAGCTGAGGAGCAGAGAGGGCACAGGGAGCCCTGTGGGAGTATCTTAGTCAGCTCAGACTGCTGTAACAAAATGCCACAGTTGAGTGGCATAAACAACAGAAATTTATTTCTCACAGTTCTGGAAGCGAGAATCCAATATCAAGGTGCCAGCAGGATTGAATTCTGGTGAGGCCTTTCTCCTTGGCTTGCAGATGGCTGCCTTCTCATTGTGTCCTCACATGGCCTTTTTTCCTGTGTGCATGTGCTCCTAGTGTCTCCTCCTCTTATAAGGATTCTGGTCCTATTGGATCAGGCCTCATCCTTATGGCCACATTTAACCTTAATTATATCCTTGAAGTCCCTGTCTCTAAATATACTCACATTGAGGGTTAGGGCTTCAACCTGAATTTGAGGGTGGGGGATACAGTTTCGTCCATAACAGAGATTAATCTAGCTTCTAGCCTCAGGATTTTGTGAGGGAGGTAGGGGAGACAGAGTTGTGTTGTACCAATAGCATCAGGACGTGTTCAATCAGTCACCATGTAAATGCAGAATGTTCCAGGCATAGCATGAAGGGCTAAGGATTCAGTTAGGGATAAGACTGGCCCCATCCCTGCCCTCATGGAACTCACAGCCTAGGAGGATAAAAGATGTATAGACATGACATTGCAGAGTGATGAAGTAGGGGACGTACAGGGCTCCCTGGGAACACTGAGGAAGAGGTGCCCAAATAAAGGTTAGGGGTCAGGAGAGGCTTCCTCAAGAAAATGTCTTTCTTTCTTTTTTCTTTTTTTTTTTTTTTTGAGATGGAGTTTCGCTCTTGTTGCCCAGGCTGGAGTGCAATGGAGTAATCTCGGCTCACTGCAACCTCCGCCTCCTGGGTTCAAGCAATTCTCCTGCCTCAGCCTCTTGAGTAGCTGGGATTACAGGCATGCGCCACCACGCCCAGCTAATTTTGTATTTTTAGTAGAGACAGGGGTTTCACCATGTTGGTCAGGCTGGTCTCGAACTCCCGACCTCAGGTGATCCTCCTGCCTCGGCCTCCCAAAGTGCTGGGATTACAGGCTTGAGCCACTGCGCCTGGCCAAGAAAATGTCTTTCTAAATTAAAATGCTTCCATGGAAGGATGGCGTGACCAAGCTACTCTGTCACTGTTGGAAGCCAGATGCCAAGCAAAAAGCTTTCGGGGCTTAGGATGAGTGAAGCATCAGCTGTGGAAGAAAAGAAAATCAAGCAGAGGGAATGGTAAGTGTGAGGGAATCCCGGGTTGAGAAGGGCACTCCAGAAGAACAGAAAGTCGATGAGTAGAGGTGGAGCTAGAGCTGGGAGAACTGGGGAAGTGGAGCAGTGAGGGATAAGGCCAGAGAGGTAGGTTGGGGCCAGCTCACTTGTTGGATTGTAACTGCCTATCCCTCTAGAGAGTAAACTCCTTTTTTCTGTTCTTTTTGTTTGTTTTTTGCTTTTTCTTTTAACATTTTTATCGTTTTTTATCTTTTATCTTTTTTCTTTTGAGAGTAAACTCCTTAAAGACAATGAATAAGTCTCCTTCAGCTTGGTGTCCTCTACCTGGCAGAGAAGCTGTGTAGTAAATGTTTACAGGTGCCCTTTGTTATGATTTGTGGGGTGAGGTGGAAAGGTTGGGCGTGCAGGTGACTTCACCTCCTTGGTGAGGCAGGCAAGGGCCTGGAGGTTGCTGGCCATCTCTGTCTGTACCTTGTCCCTGTGCCCTGGGTCACATGGTGTTTTGTTGTTGTCAGGCCTGGACAGCGAGTCCGCCTCCAGCAGCATCCGCTTCAGCAAGGCCTGCCTGAAGAACGTCTTCTCGGTCCTACTCATCTTCATCTACCTGCTGCTCATGGCTGTGGCCGTCTTCCTGGTCTACCGGACCATCACAGACTTTCGTGAGAAACTCAAGCACCCTGTCATGTCTGTGTCTTACAAGGAAGTGGATCGCTATGATGCCCCAGGTAGAGCCTGCCCCTGGGCCAGGCATCAGGGCCCCAGATCTAGGGTGTCAGCTGGCAGATACTCCCTGAGCTGCCGTTGTATTTGTGGTACTACGGGCAGGGCAGAGGAGTCCAACCAAGCATAGTCTAGGTATAGAGTCTATGCCCAAGGAGCTGCTGTTGGGAGTGTGTTACGTGCTGAGGACAGAAATGGACAGAGCCTGGAGCAGCTACTGCAGGCTACTAGAGGGGTCAGGGAAAGCTTGGCAGAGAGGTAGGATTTGAGATGGGCCTCGAAAAGCACATAGATGGGAAGAGAGTGTCTTTGGGATGGGGATCAGCAGAGCGAAGGGGTGTCTAGGGAGGCAGAGGGCTTCTCTGGAGAGGATGAGACTAACTTGGCTGGGGCCAGAGGGCAGGGATGAGGAGAAGCAGGAGTCAAGGCTGGACTGTGGGGTGGGGAGGATGGCAGGGGAGGCGAGGCCATTCAACCCTGCCTGGAGAGGGACTCCCAGGCCACACTGGGTATACCTGTCTCACTGGGGTGTCTGGTCCCTGAGTGGGGAGTCCACTCTGCTATAGAGCAAGCTATCTGCTCTGGGCTGCAGGGCTGGCACTGGATGTTCTAGGGGCTGTAGAGTAAATGAGGAGGCATGAGCTGTGTGACTTGGGCCCTGTCCACCCAGTGTGTGCCACCTGTTCTGCCCACAGATGCCCCTGAGTAACCTGTGGGAGGGCCTGCTCACATGGCAGAGCCAGAGTCCGGGTGCCCTCTCTCTGGGGCTTCCTGCCAGCCTCCAGCAGAGTCAGGTGTGCTGGTCATGGCTCCTCTGCCCATCTCTTCCTGTCTTGTGTTTGTCCCTCTTCTCTGTGTGTCTGCTTGAGTCTTCTTTATCTGTACGTTTTACTTTCTCTGTCTGGTGTCTTAGTGTCTCTGAAGTCTGTCTGTCTCTGATGCCATGTGCTGCTGTCTTAGCATTGCTGCCCTTGAGGCTGGACAGCTACTGTCAGTAGAGGTGCCTGGGCTGGGAAGAGGGAGGGACTCTTGGGATGTGACTTGCACACTTGGGGCTCCCAGTCTAAGAGACAAAATGAGTTCTGAGGAGTTCCACAGTTTAGAGCCTCCCAGTGATTCTGCAGGTGGGTGTTGGCCCAGAGGGGTGGCACAGGGGCTGAGTCAAGAGACACTCCTTCGGAGGGTGTGGAGCGGGGCTCTGAGGTGGAGTGGGTTTTGATGTGGGCATCAGGGCGGCTGGATCCCAGGTTGGCCAGGGGCTTACTGAGGAGGGGCTTGTGCCCTCTGCTACAGCGGGGCTTTCTGAGGCCAGGGGATGTGGCTCCTCACCCTCTGAAACCCTTTTCTTCTCCCTTCCCTGCAGTCCTCCAGGGAGTCCAGAACGTAGGTTGTTGGTAGGTGTGAGATGATTTCAGGGATGTGGTCAGGAGTGTGATTTCTGACACTTGCTTTTCCTGTTTGTGCCCCCAGGTATTGCCTTGTACCCCGGTCAGGCCCAGTTGCTCAGCTGTAAGCACCATTACGAGGTCATTCCTCCTCTGACAAGCCCTGGCCAGCCGGGTGACATGAATTGCACCACCCAGAGGATCAACTACACGGACCCCTTCTCCAATCAGACTGTGGTAATTCCTGTCTGCCTGAGCTGGGTCTGGGCAGCTGCTCTGTTAGCCCCGCAACCCAAGGCCCCAAGTTTCCTTTTTCCTAGGAGTCCTTCTTCCACTCACTCAGTGTGGGGCCTTAGTCCCCAAGGAGACATGCGGCTGTGCCATGTGGACACTTGGCTGTGGTTGGCTCACTTGCATTCAGGGAGGACAGTGAGGCCTCCAGCCTTTGCTGAGTAATGCTCAGGGATTCCTGACAGTGCGGTGAGACCCTGTCCCCAATGGAAGAATGGCAGGGCTAAAGGGTGGGGCTGGTGCGATATAGCGAAGTGGGTCCCATACCTGACCACTTGACAGAATTGCCAGGATACTTTTTGAAAATATGAATTTCTAGGTTCCATGTGAAGCCAACTGAATTATAATTCCTTAGGTGGGGCCTGAGAATCCATAGTTTGAAATTAATACGCCAGCGTAAAGGAGCGTCGGTCTGGGGACAAGGACTCCTGGGCCCTGGGCTGGCCATGCTGTCGTGCACAACACAGCACGGCTGGGAAGGATGACTGAGGGATGGGGTTAGGAGCGCCCTGGAGGAGTGGCACTGCACAGGGTTTCAAAGACAGGGTAGGCGTTTTGTATTGATTTACATCTCATCTTTTTCATTTCATATTCTTGCTTCAGAAAGCATTGAAAGGGGCTACAATAGTTTTCCAGATGAAATTGGGAAGGAAAGGTTTTCTAGGCAGAGGAAATTGCACCATGACCTAAAGGGAAGAGACGACATGTTGTACTTGTGCCTCTGGGCACAATTGCAGTTGGTGGGGAAATGTTTCATAGGGTCAGGAGCCCTGGAAGACTGATGGGTGATGAAGCTGTGGACAGAGTAATGGCCAGATGAGAAAAGAACATGCATCGTGCTGTAGAGCCACACTTGCTCCCTTGGGTAACAGGGAACTGTTAGTGGGTTTTAAGATGAAAGAATAACACTAATTTTTTTTTTGTTAGTATGTGAACGCTAGGCCCCCTCCTAAAATCCTGCTAAAATGATTCTCTAAGGAATGAGATAGAACAGACTAGAACATCAATAATAGCTTTGCACGTGAAGAAAGGATATCACCAGTGGACCAGACATTTTGAGGAACTGGTATAAAGCATAAAAAACAGCTTGGGCCAGATTGGTGGAGCAAACAAATTAGAGCAAATCCCTAACCCAAAACAGATGAAGGAGAGACCTGTTGTAGAGGTACAAGCTTTCCTTCCAAACCCCCAGCTTGGAATCAGCACCGTTAGAGAGCAGGGTAGTCATTACTGGACTGCCTGTTGGCTGGGCCAGACACACCCTATACCCTCCCCAGGTATGCAGAGCCGCTGGGGATGGTTGCCTCTGGGTAAAAGACCCTGGAACCATTCTCTACAGAAGCGAAGGGAAGATGATTCTTTGTGTAGGCATAGGAAACAGAGCAGACTTCTACAATGGAAAAGGAGAGAGAACTAAAGGAAAGGACTCTTCCCAGAGTAAAACACACTGGAAAACTCAGTGTGCTTCCACAGAGCATACTTAGCTTTCCCATGCAAGGGAGAGGCCTATTAGAGAAACAGAAATTTACTACTTTGGAAGAAACCAAAACCCAGACCTATACTAGTCAACCTAATCCTTCATTCATAAATAAGAATGGAGAATTAATGGTCACCAGACATTTGCATGAAACCAATGACAGAAAAGGACCAAGATGAACAAATAGAATGGACTCTAGAATAGGGAAGTAGAAGCTAATTAAAACAAAAAGGAAAGCAACTTTTAAACAATTCCAATGTGGAGTTATATGTATAATAGAAGCTCTTTGTCTGGATTCCCAGCTCCCTTCATCTCTCTGTAAAACACGCTAATGAAAACTCGTGGCTGCTTCCGTCCCACTAGGTGCCTATTCTCTGGATGCCCTCCTCTCCTCCCCCAGTTGAAGTGTATGCTTAGGAGGAGTCAGTGAGGGTCATTTCCAAACCTGTGTAGGCCAGTTGCACTTGTTACAATAGTTACATAATTCGACTAAAGAGTGTAAAAACCCTTGAAATAAGGGCACAAAGAGAGAGTTGTTTTTATGGAAATGAAGTTGAATGCAGCTACTGCCCCCAAGTCTGAGTGTTGGTTCATCTCCTCCATCAATTTCTTGAAGTCCACAAGCTATAAACTAACAGAGAAGTTATCTCCTCCCTATCCACCAAGTTTCCTACCCAAACCAGCATATAGCAGTGGAGGAAGAATATGATGAGAGCAGTAGAGCTCCCATTTGGAAAAGGAAGAAGGGGAAGGGCCCGCAGCTCTGCTCTGCAGCAGTGGTGGAACCCTGCAGGGTGGGACCGGTGAGACGCCTTCTTGGCATGAAGTAAGCTCCTTGGTTTGAACCTGTTGCTGCCCTCAGAAAGAGACTCCTGTGTGCTCTGGCCTCGTCCCCTGGGAGCTTCTGCCTTGGTGGTAATGCTCTGTGGCCATATCTGAAGTGGACATTAGAAAATACGCCCTCCCTGGTGGCTGCACAGCTTGTGCCACTCACTTCCTGCTTGTGTGAGCAGCTTTAGGGCTAAACAATTGCAAACTTGGAGGGCGGCTTCTTACCTGCCTCCTGCCACTGCCTATGTTTGCAGTGAGATTTCAGAAATGTGTAGGCTTCTGGCTGTTCGCATCTAATCAAGTTCATGTGAAAGTGACCCCAGTCGAGGGTCTCATCCTGTTGTATTTGTAAAATCTTCGGAATTTTGCTGATTTTCTGGTGCTTTCTTTCATGCTCTCAATTTAATGGTAGTTATTTTTTACCAAATGCTCTGCTCTGGCACAATAAGGTTTGCCACCTTTCCAGCCTGCGGGATCCTTATCTATTTCCTTACTGCCCGCCATTTTCCCACTGCCCAAATGTTTGGCTGTTCCCTCATTTTGATTTTTTTTGCAACCATAAAACACTCCAGCCGGGCGTGGTGGCTCATGCCTGTAATCCAGCACTTTGGGAGGCCGAGGCAGGTGGATCACGAGGTCAGGAGATCGAGACCATCCTGGCTAACATGGTGAAACCCCGTCTCTACTAAAAATAAAAATAAAAAAATCAGGCGTGTGTAGTGGCACGTGCCTGTAGTCCCAGCTACTTGGGAGGGCAAGACAGGAGAATCGCCTGAACCCGGGAGGCGGAGCTTGCAGTGAGCCGAGATCACGCCAGTGCACTCCAGCTTGGGCAACAGAGCGAGACACCGTCTCAAAAAAAAAAAACAAGAACACTCCAGTGTCAGCTAACAAATTGTGTATTAGTCAGAGTATAGGCTAAGCTACCAAATAAAAACAAAACCTGCAAATACAATGGCTGAGATGAGGGAGAAGCCTCCTTCTCTCTCTGAGAACAGTCCTGGCATGCAGGCCGTGTGGCGTAGTGGGCAGTACTGCCTCATAGGATAGTCCAGCCATGACTTTTGTCTTGTCACTGTGCTGTCCCCTGGGCATTGTTCTGGTCCATGTGGGCAGTGTGTGTGTGTGTGTGTGTGTGTGTCACTGTGCTGTCCCCTGGGCATTGTTCTGGTCCATGTGGGCTGTGTGTGTGTGTGTGTGTGTGTGTGTGTGTGTGCAGTGTGTGTGTGTGTGTCTGTGCACATGCCCAGGCCTGGGAAGGTGGAGGGCAAGCAGTTCCCTTTTCAGGAAATGGGGTGGAGTTGAATGAGTCCCCTTTTCTTTCGCACATTAGGAACTTTATCACGTGGCTACATTTGAGGGCAGAGATGAGGCTCCAGCAGGGGGAGTGGATTCTGCTGAAATCTGGGTTGGGAAAGCCATTCTAGTACTAAAGGAAGAAATGGATAATAGAAACCAGGGACAGTGCTTTCTGTTGCACACTTAAAACAAAATGGTACAGAAAGGTTGAAAAATAAATAGATGGACAAAGCTGTCTTGAGAAGATGCAACGAAAACCAGAAGTGACAATATTAATAGTGTGGAATTCCACGTGCAAAAGTTTGCAAGAAGGATGTTTAATATTGATAAGAGGTTCAACTCCATACTCTCCACTAAGACGACTGAACAGTTCCAAAACTTTATGTACAAAACAGCATGACATTTATATATTTTAAGCAAAACCCGTTAGAAGTAAAAAATACCATCACTTTAGAGCACGATTTAAACACCCCTCTCAGAAATTCACAGATCAAATAGACAAAAACTAGAAAGGATAAGAATTGAATAGTGCAGTTAATAAATTTAGAGTATGTATGTGTGTGTATACATGTGGGGGCACAAAACTTTGTAACTGACAGTGTACTCACTCTTTTTCAAATCTCTGTAGAGCATTTATTTATAAAAGTTGATGTAAAAGACATTTTTTTCTAAAATTAATCTATAAATTCAGTTTCTATCACAGTTAAAAGTCCCAGTGAATTTTTTTGTGGAACTAAGCAAGCTAGTCTTAAAGCATACTTAGAACACGTTCAAAAATAACCAAGACAAGTTTGGGGATGGGGAAGAGTAGTAGGGAGAGCACCTTCCCAGATCTCAGAACAGTGGAAAAACCACAGGAATCAAAGTGGCACAGTACTGGACAGAGACAGACAAATGTGTGGGCTCTGCTAGGGCCAGAAGCAGACATAGATATTGGTTCTGCATGGAATTTAGTATAGGATAAAGGAGGGAGGGGAAGAGGCTTCAAAACCTGTCTCTATGCATTGTTTGGGAAGTAGGAGTTAGAGCCCTATTTCACACTATATACAGAGCTTAAAGCCAGGTATATAAAGTATCTAAATGTAAAAAAGATTAAAAAGTGCTATAAAGAAATAGAGGAGAATATTGATATAATTTTGGCTTTCCTCAGCAAGCAAAACCCAAAGCCGTAAAGAAAAGGATTTAAGGTTTTACTACGTTAAATTTAAAGTTTCCATAGGACAAATGACATTGGAAACAAAGTTAAAAGAAAAATGACAGACTGGAAGAAAAGATTGGCACACATAACAGATGAAAGTGATCATCCTTGCTAAATTAAGAGCTTCCATAACTCAAAGAACCAATGAGAAAAGTGGACAGAGGATGAGCTGCATTCAGCTCTGGTTGGGCATCATATGGGGAAAACTCCCCAGGAATGAGCATGAGTCCCAGCCCAGTCCTGTTGTTGGCTAGTGGTCCCTTTGGAGACCACTGGGCAAGGAGCTATGGGCTTTCCAGTCAGTACTTCTGCCCTCAGACCCAGAGGCCTCTGTGTACTCTCCCAGGACTGAGACTCTGTCCTTTTTCTCTCTGCAGAAATCTGCCCTGATTGTCCAGGGGCCCCGGGAAGTGAAAAAGCGGGAGCTGGTCTTCCTCCAGTTCCGCCTGAACAAGAGTAGTGAGGACTTCAGCGCCATTGATTACCTCCTCTTCTCTTCTTTCCAGGAGTTCCTGCAAAGGTGGGCTTTTAGAGTTCACAGTGGGCTTACTGTCTACTTTTTATCTTATTCCAGCTGTGTATGTCCCAAGGCTAGAGACGGAGGGGTGAGGGCAGGGAAGGGAAGGGGCATTCTCAGATGACCCACTGGCCCAGGAAGGGACCTCATGAGCTTGGCCGGTCCACTCAACATCTTATCACAAAGTTAAGCAAATCTGGTGTGGAGGAGCATGCTGGCTCTCCATGCACATAGTGCTGGCTGGTTCTAGAGAGATCATTTGGTCTCACCATTGCCTGGGGCTGCTGAGGAGTAGGGGAAGTTGCCTTTGATTTGTAAGTCCCTTTGAGAGCAAGTTCTTGTGTGGTTCCTTGGTTTCCCCCACAGTGTGCACAGGAACCACATCTTGCCCTTAGTGCGGGCTTAATGTATGTTTGCCTGAAATACAGTTGGTCCTTGAACAACTTGGGGTTTGGGGTTACCAAACTTAACCACTCCTGCCTATGCAGCCAAAAATTTGTGTATAACTTTTGACCCCCAAAACTACTAACAGCCTACTGTTGACAGAAGCCTTACCAATAACATAAACAACACATATTGCGTGGTTATATATATCATAGACTGTATTCTTACGATAAAGTAAACTAGAGAAAAAAAATGTTATTAAGAAAATCATGGCCAGGTGTGGTGGCTCACACCTGTAATCCTACCACTTTGGGAGGCCAAGGTGGGCGGATCACGAGGTCAGGAGATCGAGACCATCCTGGCTAACATGGTGAAACCCCATCTCTACTAAAAATACAAAAAATTAGCCAGGCGTGGTAGCGGGCACCTGTAGTCCCAGCTACTCAAGAGGTTGAGGCAGGAGAACCGATTGAACCCAGGAGGCAGAGTTTGCAGTGAGCTGAGATTGCGCCACTGCACTCCAGCCTGGGCAACAGAGCGAGACTCCAAAAAAAAAAAAAAGGAAATCATAAGGAAGAGAAAATATACTTACTATTCATTCAGTGGAAGTGATCATTGTAAAGGCCTTCATCCTCATCGCCTTCATGTTGAGTAGGCTGAGGAGGAGGTTTGGTCTTGCTGTCTCAGGAGTGGCAGAGGCAAAAGAAAATCCGCACGTGAGTGGACCCAGCCAGTTCAAACCTGTGTTGTTCAAGGGTCTACTGCATCTCTGGTATGAGGATATAAGCTCTGCCACCTCTCTTAGTCTTCGATTTACAGTGATGAATGTCCCCTGACCATCAGAAAGTTCTTGTCTGCTCCACACACACTGCTTTGGGGTCACACCGTGGAGCCTAGAGGGCAGGAGAATTTTCTTCATGTGCCTGAGTTGAGAGGGACTCAGTTCCTACCAGGTCCTGCTGAGCCCAGAGGCTCCATTCAGAGCAAGCAGGGAGGCAGCTACAGGGGCAGGGAGGCTGCTCCCCAGCTGGACATGCAGCGAGCTGCCTCCATTCCACACCACCACTGCTTTGTTCTTCCACCCCAGAGCTCGGAGCCTCTGCCTTAGCATTTTCCACCCTTTCTGCCACCTAGAATTCCCTCTCCCTTCCCTGCTTCAAGCTGGCCATCTTGCCTTCCTCCTGGAAGACTTTCCCCGGGATCCCACCCCCACTCCACGCTCCTTTCGTGAGCTTCCTCGGTATGCTGCTGCAGTTTTTACTTGTTTTTATGTTCGCTTTGATTTTGCTGCATCTGCACCGTCTTGGGGCTGATGCTGTAGGTGACCCATCTGGCTGAGACCTCCCCAAGGAACCCTCTTCCCCTCTTTGGGCCTTCCATGGGAGCTGACAGGCTGGTGAGGGCTTCCTCAGGCTCTGCTGAAGTCCAGAGTTCTCTGAGGAGCTGTGAGCGCCATGTTCTGGGGAGCTTCTGCCAACTTCATTGCCGACAGCTTTGGTAGCCATCGATAGGAATGATGGGAGGAGGGAGGAAGATTTCTCCCACTGGGAGCTTCAAGGATCATGTTCCTGCCTTGAGGCCAGTGACTACCCCTCCATTTGGAAACCAAATGGAGAGAAAAGAGGGATGGGCCTTGCTTTTGCTGGTGACTGACAGCCCTGTTGAGGCAATCACAATTTGGAGAGGAGGCAGGGAGTGGGCAGCATCCTGGTTGTGCCAGCAAAGAAACCAGCTTGCAGTGGGGGCTTCGACTCCTGCTGCCAGACCTGCATTGACCTGGATCTTCCTTCTCCTTCCTTCCTCCAAGCCCAAACAGGGTAGGCTTCATGCAGGCCTGTGAGAGTGCCTATTCCAGCTGGAAGTTCTCTGGGGGCTTCCGCACCTGGGTCAAGATGTCACTGGTAAAGACCAAGGAGGAGGATGGGCGGGAAGCAGTGGAGTTCCGGCAGGAGGTAGGTGGCTCTGGGTTTGCTTGAAACTGCTGGTGACTTTTCCACATTCGAGTCTGAGGTGGAGGGAAGCTTTGCAGAGAAGGCTCCTTTGAGCAGGGCCTTAAGGGTGAGTAGGCCTTGGTCAGGATGAGAAGGGACTCCCATGGAGGGCTTCATATGCTATGCCAGGGAGTCTGTGTGTGCTTCTGCAGGCAGCGCACATACCGGCCAGTCCTCACGGAATGCATGTGTGGGGCAGAGATCATTGTGGCTTGCAGAGAGGTCAGTAACTCGCCCAGCTGTGTCTGATGTCTTGCATCTAGCAGCACTTTGAGGGGCTGGCAGTGGCCTAGCAGATTGATTATTTGCAGGGAAGAGAGACTAGACACAGTGGTCCCAAGTGTGCATGTTGATCCTTTTCCTAAGGTCCTCTTCAGCTCTCACAGGTGTCACAGCGAGAGATGCCAGGTGTATCTCCTGGCTGCTAGGCCAGTGGGCTGAAAGCTTTTTGATCAGATTTCCCATTAGTAAAAACTTTTTGATCATATACTCCATATACATATAACTCTGCAGGTGATATAACATACTATTATTGTCTTAGTGTTATATACACTTTAAACATTCAAAAATAGAAATGTTAAAAGGATGAGATAAAAATAAATAGTAAAAAAAGCTAGTCTTTTCTTCTTGTATCCCAGTGGCTCGGGATGCTCATCTGGAGCAGAAGGACACACTCCAGTCAACTAGGCCATCACTGGCCAGAAGTTAGGCCGGAGAAGACTGTCTTGGGTTAGTCTTAAACAGGGCCCTGTCATGAGCCCTAGCTCCTCAGACTAGTCCAGGCTGGTTACTTGGAAGAGGCTCAAAGCCAGTTTTCTTCAAGGAAGCAAGGCTATTTTTCCTGCCTTGGGAAGTGACAACCCCTCCTGGTGACTGGACCTTAAAATCTTCCTGTTTTGTAAGATAACTGTCATCTCCCAGATTTTTACCTCCAAATTTGCTCCAAGAAATTCAAGTCCTTTCTTATCTGGCCCCACAGCAGCTCTGAGGAAGGAGACTGTGTTCACTTACCTTACAATTAAGTTCAACCCCATCTACCCTGGATTTTCTGATAGCTCCCACTGTGATCCGAAACCAAAGGGTGAAAACTCTAGTGAACCTGTACATTAAAGAAATTTTAGCATCTTTTATTACTGTCTAAATTGGAAGTCTTTTGTTGGCATTATGAGCTCTTTTGAACAAAACTAAAAAATGTGTTTTAAAATCACATTTTAGAGTTTAGAGTGCTCTCACATAGGTATGCCCCTATACTGTAGTGACGTAGGCATTTTGTTCAGCTTTGTGGGTGGCAAAGCTGAGGCTCAGCTTCGATGATGGATCTGAGCCTCTGGGTGGAGCTGGTTTCTGCCTTTGTTACCTGTCTGCTCTCCGTTACACCACACAGCGTCTTTAGTAATTGACAACCAGATCTCACCAAGCACACCTACTAAGTATTTACAGGGAATGCTCAGCTGTGTGGATCTATGCAGCTGTGCTTTGTCCCTGTAAACTTGAAGGGTTGAAACAAGCGTTGAAAATTCAGAGAAATACTTGATCTGAAAACCAAGTACTTTGAAATTTGGAATTTTTATTGCTTTTAATTGTGAGTCTTACATGGTAGTTTGAATATGGTTTATTTTTAATATTTTATTTTTTTTGGAGACAGAGTCTTGCTCTGTCCCCCAGGCTAGAGTGCAGTGGCACTATTTCGGCTCACTGCAACCTCTGCCTCCCAGATTCAAGCGATTCTCCTGCCTCAGCCTCCTGAGTAGCTGGGATTGCAGGCGCCCACCACTACACCTGGCTAATTTTTGTATTTTCAGTAGAGACAGGGCTTAACCATGTTGACCAGGCTGGTCTCAAACTCCTGACCTCAGGTGATCTGCCTGGCTAGGCCTCACAAAGTGTTGGGATTACAGACGTGAGCCAACATGCCTGGCCTGAATATGGTTTAATTGTGAGTACAGATACCTAGTGACAAATTTCAGTGACAATCCAAAACACCTATTGTAAATCACAGATCCCATTTCCCCAGAGAACTGTGGAAACCAAGGTAAAGCCTTGGCTTTGCTACCAATGTCAGGATCTTGTATATATGAGATTTTTGCCACTCTCTCTCCAAAAAATAGTGTGAGGAGAACCACAGACTATGATCCCCTGCCTACTCTCTCTCCTTTCGCTGGGCACAGGCAAGGGAAGGGCACACAGAGGTGGTAACACTGCTTTCTCTCCTCCACATCTAGACAAGTGTGGTTAACTACATTGACCAGAGGCCAGCTGCCAAAAAAAGTGCTCAATTGTTTTTTGTGGTCTTTGAATGGAAAGATCCTTTCATCCAGAAAGTCCAAGATGTGAGTATTTAAGATTATGATAGTATTATTTAAGATTATGATAGTATTATTTAAGATTATGATAGATGTATTATTTAAGATTATGATGCTGCCCTGAAGTCTTTTGGCTCATTCTTGTAGACTGATAAGTCTACCTACCTGTCCTCATCTTTTTTCATAGCACAAATCAGCTTGTAATTTATATTTATGACATCAATGTTATATATTCTTTGTGTTTGGTCTTGTCTTCATCACTAGACTTTCTCTGTAAAGGAGGGGGACTTTCATTTTGCTCACCATAATTTATCTGGGATATAGTGGAGTGCTTAGTGCAAAGTAGCTGCTTAGTAGTAATGTTCGTTGAATAAATTGAGTAGAAAGCATTAAGTTACCACTATACAGGTTACTGCAGTTGCAAGTTATTCTTTTTCTTAATGGTTCCCTGTAGGATAAATACTACTTGTAGTAAGAACATAATGGTACAAATAAAATATTAACAAAGCATTAATTAATGCCATATTTTAAAAAAATTGATACATAATATACATATTTATGTGGTACATGTAATATTTTGATAAATGCAGACAAAGTCTAATGATCAAAAATCAGGGTAGTTGGGTTATCCATCATCTCAAACATTTATAATTTCCTTGCATTGGGAACATTCTTCTAGCTATTTTGAAATATATAATACATTCTTGTTAACTATAATTGCTCTACTGTATTATCATGTCATCTATCTTACTGTATTTTTGTACCCATTAACCAATTTCTCTTCATCTCCTGCTTCCCCCAACCCTTCCCAGCCTCTGGTAACCACCATTTTACTCGCTACCTCCATGAGACTCATTTTTTTTTAAGCTCCCACATGAGTGAGAACGTGTGGTATTTGTTTTTCTGTGCCTGGCTTATTTCACTTAACATAATGTTCTCCAGTTTCATTCGTTTTGCTGCAAATGACAGGATTTCATTCTTTAATGGCTGAATAATATTCCATTGTGTTTTATATATATATATACACACCACATTTTCCTTATCCATTCATCCTAAGTGTTGATGGATACTTGAGTTGATTCCATATCTTGGCTGTTGTGAATAGTGCTACAGTAAACATGGGAGTGCGGATATCTCTTTGATACACTGATTTCCTTTTTTTTTTTTTTTCTTTTCTTTTTTGATTTCCTTTCTTTTGGATATGCACCCAGCAATGAGATTGCTGGATCATATGGTAGTTCTAGTTTTAGCTTTTTGAGGAACCTCCATACTGTTTTTTCATAGTGAGTTTAATAATGTAAATTATTACATTCCCACCAACAGTATACAAGCATTCCCCTTTTTCCACATCTTCACCAGCATCTGTTACTTACTGTCTTTTTGATAGTGGTCATTTTAACTGAGGGGAGGTGATAACCTTATTTTGGATTTGGTTTGCATTTCCCTGATTGATTAGTGTTGTTGAGCATATTTTCATATGCCTTTTGGCCATTTGAATATCATCTTTTGGGATAAATCTCTATTCAGATCTCTTGCCCATTTTAAAATTGAATTATTTGGCTTTTTTTGCTATTGAGTTGTTTGAGTTCCTTATATATTCTGGTTACTAATCCCTTGTTGGATGCATAGTTTGCAAATAATTTCTCTCATTCTGTAGGTTGTCTCTTAACTTTGTTGATTGTTTCCTTTGCTGTACAGAAGCTTTTTAGCTTAATGTAATCCCATTTTTCTGTTTTCGCCTTTGTTGACTCTGCTTTTTGAGGTCTTACCAAAAAGATCTTTGTCCAGACCAGTGTCCTAAAGCATTATCCCAGTGTTTTCTTCTAGTTTCATAATTTCAAGTCTTAGATTTGAGTCTATTTTGAGTGGATTTTTCTATATAGTAAGAGATAGGGGTCTAGTTTCATTCTTCTGCATATGGATATCCAATTTTCCCAGCACCATTTATTGAAGAGATTATCCTTTCCCAATTGTATTTTCTTGGTGCCTTTGTCAAAAATGAGTTCGTTGCATATACATGGATTTATTTCTAGATTCTCTGTTCTGTTCCATTGGTCTATGTGTCTGTTTTTATGCCAATACCATGCTGCTTTGTTTACTATAACTTTGTAGTATATTTTGAAGTCAGGTAGTGTGATGCCTTCAGCTTTGTTCTTTTTGCCCAGGATTGGTTTGGCTATCTGGGGTTTTTTGTAGTTCCATACAAAATTTAGGATTTTTTTTCTACTTCTGTAAAGAATGTCATTGGTATTTTATAGGAATTGCATTCAATCTGTAGATTGCTTTGGGTAGTGTGGACATTATGCTAGTTCTTCCAATCCATGAACCATAGGATATTTTTCCATTTTTTGTGTCCTGTTCAATTTTTTCATCCCTATTTTTACAGTTTTCATTATAGCGATTTTTTTACTTCTTTGGTTAAATTTATTCCTAGGTATTTTATATTTTTATAGCTATTATAAATGGGATTGCTCTCTTTTTTATTTTATTCTTGCATTGCTATAAGTTTTTTAGATTGCTCGCTGTTAGCATATAGAAATATTCCTGATTTGGGTGTGTTGATTTTGTATCCTGTGACTTTACTGAATTTATCAGGTCTACCAGTTTTTTGGTGGAGTGTTTAGGTTTTTCAAAATATAAGATCATATCATGTGCAAACAAAGACAGTTTGACTTCTTTTCAATTCAGATGCCCTTTATTTCTTTCTCTTGTCTAATTGCTCTGGCTAGGACTTCCAGTATTATGTTGAACAAAAATAATGAAAGTAGGCACCCTTGTCTTGTTCCAGATCTTAGAAGAAAGACTTTGAATTTTTCCCCATATGATGTTAGCTGTGGGTTTGTCATGTATGGCCTTTATTGTGGTATGTTCCTTCTATACTCAGTTTGTTGAGTTTTTTGTTTTTTTTTTGTTTTTTGTTTTTTGTTTTTTTTTTTTGACACAGTTTCATTCTGTCTCCCAGCCTGGAGTGCAGTGGCATGATCTCAGCTCACTACAACCCCTGCCTCCCAGGTTCAAATGATTCTTGTGCTTCAGCCTCCTGAGTAGCTGGGATTACAGGTGCACATCACCATGCCCAGCTAATTTTTGTATTTTTAGTGGAGATGAGGTTTCACCATGTTGGCCAGGCTGGTCTCAAACTCCTGACCTCAAGTGATCTGCCCACCTCGGCCTCCCAAAGTGCTGGGATTACAGGAGTGAGCCACCATATCCGGCACATTGAGAGTTTTTATCATGATAGTATGTTGAATTTTATTAAATGCTTTTTTACCATCTATTGAAATGATTACATGATTTTTGTTCTTGATTCTGTTAATGTGATGTATTACATTTATTGATTTGCATATGTTGAATCATCCTTGCATCTCTGAGATGGATCCCTCTTGATCATGGTGAATGGTCTTTTTAATGTATTATTGAATTTGGTTGGCTGATACTTTGTTGAGGACTTTTGCATCTGTGTTCATCAGAGATATCGGCCTGTAGTTTTCATTTTTTGTTGTGTCTTTGTCTTGTTTTGGTATCAGGGTAATGCTGGCCTTGCAGAACCGAGTTTGGGAATATTCTTCAATTTTTTGGAATAGTTTGAGTAGAATTGCTATTAATTTTTTTTTAATGTTAGATAGAATTTAGCAACGAAGCCATCAGGTGCTGGGCTTTTCTTTTATTACTGCCTCTGTCTTGTTACTCATATTGGTCTATTCAGGTTTTCTGTTTCTTCATGGTTCAATCTTGGTAGACAATGTATCCAGGAATTTTTCCACTTCTTTTAGGTTTTCCTTTATTGGCATATAGTTTTTCATTAAGTCTCTAATGATCCTTTATATTACTGTGGCATCAGTTGTAATGTCTTTTATTTTGGTGTGATTTTATTTATTTGGGTCTTCATTATATTTTTCTTAGATAGATTTTGTTTAACTTAGATTTTGTTTAACTTTTCAAACAACTAACTTTTCTTTCTTTTTTTTTTTTTTTTTTGAAATGGAGTCTTGCTCTATCACAAGGCTGGAGTGCAGTTGCGATCTTGGCTCATTGCAGCCTACGCCTCCTGGGTTCAAACGATTCTCCTGCCTCAGCCTCCCAGGTAGCTGGGATTGCAGGCACCCGCCACCATGCCCAGCCAATTTTTGTATTTTTAGTAGAGATGGGTTTCACCATTTTGGCCAGGATGGTCTTGTTCTCTTGACCTTGTGATCTGCCGGCCTCAGCCTCCCAAAGTGTTGGGATTACAGGTGTGAGCCACTGCGCCCGGCCTCAAACAACTAACTTTTCATTTAAGTTTCAGTTTCATTTATTTCTGCTCTGATAATTATTATTCTGATAAATTTGGGTTTGTTCTTTTCTCGTTCTTTGAGGTGATCGTTAGCTTATTTGAAATCTCTACTTTTTTTGATGTAGGCATTTATTATAAACTTCCCTCTTAGTACTGCTTTTGCTGTATCTCATAGGCTTTGGTATATTGTTTCCATTTTCATTTGTTCAATAAATGTTAAAATTTCCTTCTTAATTTCTTCATTGACCTTTGGTCACTAAGGAGCATCATGTTTAATTTCCATGTATTTGTACAGTTTCCAAAATTCCTCATTATTGATTTCTAGTTTTATTCCACTGTGGTCAGACAAGATACTTAATATGATTTTAATTTTTCTGAATTAGTTGAAACTTGTTTTGTGGCCCAACATATGGTCTCCCCTGGAGAATGTTCCATGTGCTGATGAGAAAAATGTATATTCTGTAGCAGTTGGAGTTTTGAGACGGAGTCTCGTTCTGTCGCCCAGGCTGGAGTGCAGTGGTGTGAACTCGGCTCACTGCAAGCTCTGCCTCCCGGGTTCACGCCATTCTCCTGCCTCAGCCTCCCGAGTAGCTGGGACTACAGGCGCCTGCCACCAGGCCCGGCTAATTTTTTTTGTATTTTTTGGTAGAGACGGGGTTTCACTGTGTTAGCCAGGATGGTCTCAATCACCTGACCTCCTGATCTGCCCACCTTGATCTCCCAAAGTGCTGGGATTACAGGCGTGAGCCTCCGCACCTGGCCAGATGAAATGTTTTGTAAATGTCAGTTAGGTCCATTTGGTCTAGAGTATAGTTTAAATCCCATGTTTGTTGATTTTCTGTCTAGATAAGCTGTCCATTTTTGTGAGTCGGACGTTGATGTCCCCTACTATTACTGTATTGCAGTCTGTCTCTCCCTTTAGATCTATTAATATTTGCTTTATATATGTGGTTTCTTTGATGATACTGGATGCATACATATTTACAGTTGTTGTATCTTCTTGTTGAATTGACTCCCTCATCATTACATAATGATATTTGTCTCTTTTTCCAGTTTTTGACTTGAAGTCTATTTTATCTGTTACAGGTATAGTTAAACCTGTTTTTTTATTTACATTTGTGTGGGATGTCTTTTTCTATCCCTTCACTTTTTTTTTTTTTTTTTCTGAGATGGAGTCTTGCTCTCTTGCCCAGGCTGGAGTGCAGTGGCATGATCTTGGCTCACTGCAACCTCCACCTCCCGGGTTCAAGTGATTCTGCTGCCTCAGGCTCCCAAGTAGCTGAGATTACAGGCATGCGCCACCACACCTGGCTCATTTTTGTATTTTTAGTAGAGACAGGGTTTTGCCATGTTGACCAGGCTGGTCTCAAACTCCTGATCTCAAGCAATCTGCCCACCTTGGCCTCCCAAAGTGCTGGGATTATAGGCATAAGCCATCACGCCTGGCCTGTCTCTTCACTTTCAATCTGTGTATCTTTACAGGTGAACTATACGCTGTATGGCAGCATACCGTTGGGTCTTGTTTTTTAATAAATTCAGCAACTGTGTCTTAAGAATTTGGTCCATTTACATTCAATATTATTACTGATAGAGAAGGACTTACTACGGCTATTTCGTTTTTTGTTTTTTGGTTTTGTAACTTCATTCTTCTTACTGTCTTTGTGGATAAATGATTATCTCTTTAAATTCCTTACTTTTTATTTTTATTATATCCATTATAGGTTTTTGCTTTATGGTTACCATAAGGCTTATAAAAAACATCTTGCAGTTAAAACAAGTTATTTTAAATTGAGGACAACTTAACTTTGATCACAAAGAAACAAAAAACTTTTAAAACTACACTTCAACTCCATACTCCTCACATTTTGACTTTTTATTATATCTATTTATATTTTTGTTTTGCCTCTTTTTTTTTTTTTTTGAGACGGAGTCTCACCCTGTCACCCAGGCTGGAGTGCAGTGGCCCAATCTCAGCTCACTGCAAGCTCCCGGGTTCACACCATTCTCCTACCTCAGCCTCCCGAGTAGCTGGGACTGCAGGCACCCGCCACCACGCCCGGCTAATTTTTTGTATTTTTGGTAGAGACAGGGTTTCACCGTGTTAGCCAGGATGGTCTTGATCTCATGACCTTGTGATCCGCCCGCCTCGGCCTCCCAAAGTGCTGGGATTACAGGCATGAGCCACCGCACCCGGCCAAGGCCATTGACTCTTGATTTACCCTTTTGAGGCTATTTTCTAGACCTTGTGAGTGTTCTTCATTCTTTTTTTTTTATTTGTGTATTTTCATATAATTTGTCTTTAAGCTCACTAATTCTTCTGCTTGATCAATTCTGTGAGGCACTCTGATGCATTTTTCAGTCTGTTAATTGTACTTTTCAGCTCTAGGATTTTTATTTGAATTTTTAAAAATTATTTTAATCTCTGTTGAATTTCTTTGATAAATTTCTGAATTGAGTCTTTGTGTTTCATTGAAGTTCCTGGAGTTTCCTCAGAACATCTATTTTGAATTCCCTGAGTGGTCACACATCTCTCTCTCCCGGATTGGTCACTGGCACCTTAGTCTGTTTGATGAGATTGTATTTCTCTGAACTTTTCTGGTGCTTGTGTACGTCTGTCTATGGGCATTGAAGATTTAGGTGTTTATTTCAGTCTTCACAGTCTGCCCTTGTTTATACCCATCTATCTTCAGGAGATTTTCTACAAATTGAAAGGTGACTGATGATGAGTTCCCTAAGCGTGTAGTCAGTCACTGCAGCTGTTTCAGCACTAGAGGGCAGTCTAAGCCAAGTTACACTGTGACTATCTTGTAGACTTCTAGATATCCAGCCCTGATGTACTTGGGGAGGATCAGAGAGAATGCCCTGGGGGTTCCCAGGCAAAGTCCCTTATCTTTCCCTCAAGGGGAAGGAGTCTCTCTGCTCTGAGTTGCCTGGAGTTGGGGAGGGGTAAGGCAGGTACTCCCATGGCTGTCACAGCTGGCACCACCCTGGGTCCCTCCTAAACCAATGCAATACTGGGGTTTGCTTAAGGCCACTTTAGTCAGCCAGTGGTGAAGCTGGCTGGGGTTTGGGTCCATCCTGCTAGGGTGGCCGATTGCCTTTTGGCCAGGGTGGGTTTAGAAGTGCCATTTGGGAGCAATAGCCTATAATTAGGGGATTCGGGATTCTTCCTGGTGCTGTGGCAGGGCTGGTACTAGGTTCCAAGGCAAAGTCCCTCATACTCTTCCCTCTCCTTTGCCCAAGCAGGAGTGTTCCACCATGCTGCACTGCCTGGAGTTGAGGCAGCTGGTGTCATGCTGGATCACACCCCAAACCCACAGACTCCCAGACCAGTGCAGTATCAGAGCTGTGGTTGCTATGGCCTGGCTGCCACTGAAATTATTTGGGGCCTAAGGCCACTTTAGTCTATTGTAAAGTGGGCCCAGACTTGGTTTCCTCCCACTGGGGTGGTAGATGCCCCTCTGATCTGGGGTGGGCCTAATACTCTTTTCACGGGCTCTAGCCTGGAATCAGGGCCTCAGAATTCTGCCTGGTGCTGTTTTCCCTTGTGAAGTTCCAATGCAAGTTCCAGACTCACTTCCCTCTCCCAAGCTCACAGATTCTCTCTGCTGCACTGCCTAAGGTTGGGGGAGGGGTGTGTAGGCAGCGTGAGACCCTCCTTTCTACTCTTCTTCAGTGTGTCTTTTCCTGTTATTATACTAAACCAGATACTGTGATCTCTCACCTGGTTTTTTGGCTCTTGTGTAGATACTTTCTTACATGGATAGCTGAGTTTGGTGTTGCTGCAGAGGACTATCGCTGGAGGGTTCTCTTTAGCCATCTGGCTCCACCTCCTCTAACGTCAAATTCTGACTCATGATCTTGGAAGGGGAGGAATAATTGGACAGCTTTGCTAAAGGAACATTTAAGACACACCGTCCACCAGAGCCAGGCCTAAATCTAGTATTGATTGGCATTCATGTCATCATAATATATCCTGATGTGATCATGGCTTACAGGAAACTGTTTCATAGCTGAGACCCAAACGTGTAAGCTTCCACCCCCAGGTGGGGATTCTGTGATACGGATGTGCTTGCTCTGCTATCACCCACTACCACTATTAATTATGGACTGGCAAGGCTTTGTATGAAGAGGGATGTGCAGAGGCTTATTGAATCAAGACTGGGGAGAAGGGCTTGCAGCTCGTTGTGTAATGTGTGATAAAACATTTTTTAACCTACTATATTCAGTATGAGGTACCTATTATGGGCCAAGTGGAGCCCAGTACCCGAGGCATGCTTTACTCAGCTTCACAGCAGTCAAGTGGTGGTATCACCATTTTCATATGTGAACAATGAAATGCATACTAAGGTCACCCTGCTAAATTGAGCTTAGAAGTATTTTATTTGGGAGGCTGAGGCAGGCGGATCACGAGGTCATAAGATCGAGACCATCCTGGCCAACATGGTGAAACCCCGTCTCTACTAAAAATACAAAAAATTAGCCGGCCGTGGTGGCATGTGCCTGTAGTCTCAGCTACTCGGGAGGCTGAGGCAGGAGAATAGATTGAACCCGGGAGGCGGAGGTTGCAGTGAACTGAGATCGCGCCACTGCACTCCAGCCTGGCGACAGTGAGACTCCATCTCAAAAAAAAAAAAAAAAAAAAAGTATTCTTACCAGGTTGTGGAAGTCAGAAATCCAAGATAAGAACTCTGCCTTAAAGAGTTACAACTCTGCCTTCAAGAGTTAGTGAGAGAACAATCCTATTGTTTTAAATTATTGATTCCAGACCATAAGGAACTGTGAAGGGCATTCATAGGATAAATAGCTCTGCTGAAGTCCAGAAAGGGTTTTAGCTTAGTGGTCAGGGAAAGCTCTGAGACTTTGAAGGATGAGTAAACCTAGACAGGAGGAAAGCATCGTAGATGGGGAAAAGAGCAGAGGACTGGAGGCAGGAATCCTCCTCTGAGTTTGGGAGGAAAGACAGCCATTGGACTAGAAATGAGGAAACACTTGAAACTATGGTAACTATGAGATGGGAACAAGAGGAGCTCACCTTCTTATGGACTGGGTATAGTTTTAGGGAAATTCATCTCAAAGCAAGGTCACTTATTGTTGGATTAGGCCACAAAATTAAATATTGCCTATCTTATTTGTGCAGAGCTTTTTTGAAAAACAGCTTTCTTTCAGAATCACTTTATTATAGGGAGGAGTCAGTATTTTTCTCCTCAAACTGAGCTATGGACATTAAAAGTATAGTCTGAATGAAGTATATAGAGTTATGACAGTTTCAGAACCCAGGTATTTTTCTTATAGTCCCAATAATTTGGGAAGGGCTCTTGATAATAACACTACTAAACATACAAAAAATTAGCCAGGTGTGGTGGCAGGTTCCTGTAATCCCAGCTACTCGGGAGGCTGAGGCAGGAGAATTGCTTGAACCCAGGAAGCGGAGCTTGCACTGAGCCGAGATTGCGCCACGCACACAAGCCTGGGTGACAAGAGCGAAACTCCATCTCAAAAAAAAAAAAAAAAAAAGAATCAAGACTGAAGCAAACCAGTAATCCTGTTTGTTTCTGTTTGCTTCACAGATAGTCACTGCCAATCCTTGGAACACAATTGCTCTTCTCTGTGGCGCCTTCTTGGCATTATTTAAAGCAGCAGAGTTTGCCAAACTGAGTATAAAATGGATGATCAAAATTAGAAAGAGATACCTTAAAAGAAGAGGTCAGGCAACGAGCCACATAAGCTGAAGTCACCTCGCGTTGTTTAGAGAACTGTCCACATCAATGGGAGCTGTCATCACTTCCACTTTGTAAACGGAGCTATCAACAATCCTGTACTCACTTGAAGAAATGGGGCCTTGCTGGGAGGAACAGCATGTAAAACTGGAACTTCTAACCCCGTCCCAAAAGAGGCGGTGTAGAGCCTAATAGAAGAGACTAATGGATAAACCTACAAGTTATTTAAATATTTAAATTATTAATAAACTTTTTAAAGAGCTGGCCAATGACTTTTGAATAGGGTTTGTAGAAGATGCCTTTCTTCCTGTTTGGTTCATTGTATTGTATTAGGTTAAGCTCTACTAGGGTAATGAAGGCTCTACTTTTCACTTTTTAAAAGTGGACAAAAGAGTGTGATTTTCTTTTTCCAAAAATTCCTGAGTATCAAGACGTGCAGGTCATGCTTTGGAGCCTATGCACTGTACACAAAGGCAAAACCCTATGACTTTGGCATCATCTGCCATTGATGTCCAGCCTCTGACATGCTCTTTGATTTGTTAAATGTTAAATGAGACTTTAAGGCTACTAGAAACTAGTAATTAAGTTTCTTAATGGACTGAGTAGCCACCTACTTGTCCGGCTAGAATGTTTGTTGATGTATGAGTTTAGATTAACACTCAAAAGCACTAGGACAGATGTACATAGAAGGTGCCTACTCATTGTATTTTGATGATTTCATTAACAGGTAAATAAAAGTTAATACAAAAGGAACGAGTGTGACAATATGAATATCTGCTCAATCATCGGGCACAATTACTTTCATTTGGTGACTTCCAAGGACAAAAAGGTAGTATGAGTCTGGACTCCCAAGATGGATCTGACTCCCAAGGTATGTTCTAACTGCTTCCAGGGAAGGGTTTGTTAGGCATGGCAACTGATGGCAGGTGTCCAGAAAGAGTGACCTGGTGTCCCCGAGGAAGCTGGGTTAACTCTTTACTGTGTCCACAAAACTACCCATCATATGAGGAAGGGGCATACGCAGTGTGACCCTCAAAAAGCTTTTAGCCTAGCCTTTGACAGAAATGAGTATGCATTAAAAAAAAGTCTATTTTTCACATTAAGGTTCTAAAAATTGTTTCCAGAGTTTTAAATTATTTATGTGCCTGTTGCTTCAAAGAGGACTTGGTAGCATTTCCTAAATTTTGTAATCTGGCTTCCGATAATCCAAAGGGAATAACTCAAATGTATGAATAGGCATTTTAAATGGGAAGAAACTGTTTTTTGGATGAATGATTAAAAGTGAACTGTATAAAGAAATATTCCCTGCCACTTTTCTGCTCCACAGAAGCATGAGAATTCAAGTTTTAGCCTAGGTCTCTTTATAAAATCTTATTTTATTGCAGGGCAAATGCAAAGCCAGGCATAAAAGCTTACATTAACAGTACTGATAAAAAGGGGAGTGAAAAAGGGGGGTGTGTTTTTTTAAAGCATGTCTGACAATATGTCACTTTCTCTTTTTTTTTTTTTCTTTTTTTTCTTTGGAGACAGAGTCTCACTCACTCTGTTGCCAGGCTGGAGTGCAGTGGCGCTATCTCGGCTCATTGCAACCTCTGCCTCCTGGGTTCAGGTGATTCTCCTGCCTCAGCCTCCCAAGTAGCTGGGATTACAAGCATGTGCCACCATGCCTGGCTAATTTTTGTATTTTTAGTAGAGACAGGGTTTCACCATATTGGCCAAGCTGGTCTGGAACTCCTGAGCTCAAGCAATCCACCCGCCTCAGCCCCCCAAAGTGCTGTGATTACAGGCGTGAGCCACTGTGCCCGGCCAGTCACTTTAATATTACTTAAATATCTAATAAAATTTGTTTCAATGAACATACTATATTCTCTGTATTGTAGAAAGTTGAGACTGGGCATGGTGGCTCACGCCTGTAATCCCACCACTTTGGGAGGCTGAGGCGGGTGGATCACCTGAGGTCAGGAGTTCGAGATCAGCCTGACTAACATGGTGAAACCCCATCTCTACTAAAAATACTAAAATTAGCCGGGTGTGGTGGTGCGCGCCTATGATCCCAGCTACTTGGGAGGCTGAGGCAGGAGAATCACTTGAACCCAGGAGGCAGAGGTTGCAGTGAGCTAAGATCATGCTACTGCACCCCAGCCTGGGCAACACAGTGAGACTCTGTCTCAAAATAAATAAATAAATAA
Organism: Homo sapiens; assembly: GCF_000001405.40. Taxonomy (NCBI): domain Eukaryota; kingdom Metazoa; phylum Chordata; class Mammalia; order Primates; family Hominidae; genus Homo; species Homo sapiens. The sequence goes on along the minus strand of NC_000001.11, from coordinate 212,363,037 downwards.
ATAAATAAAGTTGAGAGACCTATTAAATCTGCTTTCATGTAAGCACATAATTAGGAAGTGAACGATTTTACCTTTTCAGAGAGAAAAACCTTTATTAGCTGTAACCTGTCAAAATCTACTCTGGTTGCTCTTCAGTAAAAGAAATATACCTAAACCTTCTACAGAATAGACATTTAGACATAACCTTCACTTTCTGGAAAGGCAGGCGCTTGCCTTTTCCTTCTGTTTTGTGTAGGATCATCATTTTTAACTGCGCTGTCCCCCAGCTGTCAGCAATACTAGCTGACCCTGGGTGAGTGTAGAGAATCTAGAAGGAACACCTTAACCTGATGGCCATGACAAGATGACTCTGCAATACCTACTACTTGAGAAAAACAAAGCATGAGCTATTGTTGTAAAAGAATTTTAGTGCTCTTCCTTTTGGTACACTGCTTTCATGATGACCTGGGAGTAGTGTGCATCCCCTGTGCTAGAGTTTTTAATATTAAAGCAGAAGTAAACATCAGTAGCAGATAACACTTTATTACAATAATGTCTGATTTCTTTCTCTTTTTTTGAGACAGAATCTTGTTCTGTCGCCCAGGCTGGAGTGCATCTTGGGTCATTGTGGGCTCAAGCGATTCTCTTGCCTCAGCCTCCCGAGTAGCTGGGATTGTAGACGCCCACCAGCACGCATGGCTAGTTTTTATATTTTTAGTAGAGACAGAGTTTCACCATGTTGGCCAGGCTGGTCTTGAACTCCTGACCTCAGGTGATCGGCCCGCCTCGGCCTCCCAAAATGCTGGGATTACAGGCGCGAGCCACCGCACCCAGCCAATAATACCTGATTTCTAACTGTGCCACAGGCTCCCTGCTCTTCACTAGAAGTGCTATTTATTATGGATTATGAAAAATTAGCTTCAAAGTAAATTAAACCCATCCTCTTAACATACAAGGATATGAAAGATGATGGAAAGATATCCTAGAACTTAGAATTTTATGCAAATATTCTGTAAAACATATTTTGGTAAAGGGCTAGAACACTCAACCTTGGCACACAATCTTCCTATTTTTAAATTAGACTTCGTCCCACAATTTGTCTTAAAAGTTTCTATAAATACACATATGTATGTAAAAAGGGGGGCAGACTTCTCCTGTATGCCTAAGCTTAGAGCTAAAAGAAGCAAAGATGACATAAGGCAAAATACAAACATAGACTTTATTAAATGCTGCTCAATCCCCCAATGAAGATCTTTCATTACAAAACAGTTTTCCACACAACTGCAAGTTAAGAGATTGGAATGGTACTCTGATAACAAAAGATGTGAGAAATACTTGACCAAGTAAAAACATACAAGACCTCTATATAGTCAACCTTTTCAGAGCTCTACAGAGGAAGCCTACTGCAGTTCCTTTAAATAAAGCCAGGCAGTGACAACTAGTGCTCTGTATCACCACACTGTGGGACTCAAAGCCTCCATCCCTGGGTCAGGAGGGACTAGGTGAAGGACAGGTTGTGAGGACTGGAAAGGCCCTGCCTTCAGCCTTTGAGAGGAAGAGGAGGAATGAATTGAGAGGCAAGCTGGGTAATTCACCTGAGCTGCCTCTACCCATCTGTTACCACTCTGGAGAATTGCAGAGGAAGGGGGATATTCATGAGGAACAATCTGAAGAATTTTGGTTTACTTTCCCAGCTTTTATTTATATTTTGTGCTTTAAAAAGCCTGGAGATTTAAGGTTTTGCCTAAATTCCAGAGTACAGTAATGTATTTATTGAGGGAGGGGTTAGGGCAGGTAATTCCCCCCATCATATTTCTGGGTGAGACAAAGAGAAGGGTAAGGATGATACCTTAGTTTTATTTTAGGAAGTATTTTTTCCTAGGATGTAACTAAGGTTTGCAGCAGTGTGAAAAGCACATTATAAAAGGGAAAAATATACAGAGCAGACTACCATATCTATGTGCAACACAATCAAAGAAGAATTCAAGTCATAATTCTTACCACTCCCATAATTATCTCACTCATATCATAGATGATAAAATTCATTCATTTCTGTGAAACTTCAGAAGTGACACAATAAATCCAATGATTAGACAAAGGTTACAATATACTATGGCCATGATACAGCACAGGGCTACGTTTAGTCCATATATTTTTCCATTTACAGTTGCCAGAAAAAATTGGCCTTTTAATTATATTATACTGATGAGGTTTGTTTTGTAATTTTTACATATTTCAAAAAAGCATACAAAACTCTGCCTATCCGGCAGAGGTGGGAGGCTTTTTTTTTATTCGGCACTTGTATTGCTGAGAATACTGTGCATGTTGTAAGCACTATTCTGTTTTTCTAGAGCTTTCTTTAGCTTTAGCTCCTCTAATTTTTTCCATAATTCTTCACGTTCCAATTCCTTCTTTTTCTCTCTGTAGATAAACCAAAATTTTTGTAATCAGAAATTATTTCAGAACCCAAAGAGAGGTGCTGTTTGACAGCTTACTGGAGAACACATTACTTACCCACATTTCACTTAAATCCCTCTGCTAAAGCTTTGGAGTCCACTTACCTGGAGCACCTAATTTCTTCTTGTCACTCTCCTAAATGTACTGAGTCTGTGCATCTCCTGTACCAGCTAGACGTTACTACTTGCTTTCTGTCCCCTACACATTATCACTACCATGACACTGTACTTTATAGTCAACAAAGTACTTACACGTCAATTTTCTCACGTAAACATCTTGCAGTTGTAGTAGTCTAATCAGTATTACAAAGGCTGAAGGGGCTGGCCACTAGGTCAGTAGGAAGCACTTCCTTCACCACACCAGACAGAAGCCACATCATTTTTGCCACTAACAGCCACATCTCTAGCCACTAACCAGTTTGTATCTTACTAGCTCCTCTTTTACATGTCAAATGAAAACTTTAGTTTCAGTAATCTTTCTCTAGAACAAAATGAAGGTCAAAATATTTCATATGTCGTTTCAACTAATTAATTTCAGTTCTAAGGAAAACATTTCTGAGTAACTTGAACCTGTCTATTCTGAAAGGCTCCATGAACATGTAAAACATAGGCTTATAATTCTGCAGTTATGAGTTAAAAGGACAAATCCTTTTAAAGGATTTGCTGATTTATGCAGGTAAGAAATGATGAGTATATTCTTAGTCATGTGAAATACATATTTTTCAAATACAAGTTTCCTATGATCCTAGTCATCTTATTTTCTTCCCATTGCTTCCTGAGGCTCAAAACATGTACTTAATTTCTATTCCTGCCTGAATGCTGCTATTTAAAGGAAATAATGCATTGAGTTAGTTATTAATGGGCTGGATGGCTTTGAAGAAAGGCTATCCATTTTCTACTTTAAGATAACCATAACTAGGAACTTGTCAAAATAGATAGCTTTTCTAAACAGAACAGGTAATATGCTTATTAGAAGTAAATGGTAACTGTTATCCTCAAATAATGGGTGGGCTCAGGTACACTGGTTACTAACCACTTAAGTTTAAGAAAGTGCTTCTTGAGTTTGAAATAAACATATGAGAAGAAAGTAACTCTTGAAAGATTATTTTATAGTAATTTATGAAATTCTCAAAAAGAGGTAATCACTAGGCCATGTTCCTAAAGGCTGATACGTGCTAACATTTATACTCTAAAATACATATTATTGCAAGGACAACATATTAATAGTACCCTAAGCCATATCATTATGTGACTTCCCTCTTCCCAAAGGAGAACTATGCTGACTTTAAAATACCACCTTCTGATAATCCACAGCGTAAGAATTACCTACTGCTAACAAAGAACACTTGAAAAGTAAAGCTCACTCTGGAAGCCCACGTGGACAAAAAGGATTTTCGTAAATGCATGGATAAAAAATCAAATTGTACAAATTGATATTTAAAATTCAGCATAAATTATATTTCATATGCAGATGCTAACAGACTGAGGAAATCTAAGGCTCAGAATGAGATAAACAGGATTTATGATCCACATTAAAATCATAATCTAACCATTTAGAGGAAGTAAATTATGTAACTACCCTCAAAAATAAATGCTACTGCTTTTTCTGCTTTAACAAATTTATAAAAATACTGGGGCTAGTTTATCTGGAAATGACTTATATGTTAAGAGACTTTCACATTGTAATGTTTACTATAAGGTAATTAACTTCTTAAATATGAAAATCTGAACTGAGAGAAGATACCTTCCTGAACTGAATCACATTCAACTAACATAAAATGTATAGATAATTTTGTAATTCAAAATATCAAATACCTCTGTCTTTCAGCTTTGTATGAGCTAGTAAGGTCATCGAAAAGCTTGCCATTCATTTCCATTAGGGTTTTCAGCACATTGTATACCAGTGCTACAATGGTCCTGAAATGAAAATGAGCCAGTCCTGAGTTATGATACTGCTAACAGAGAGGAAATGTAACACTATGGTCTCTAAAATGGGTTAAAGCTTGGCTGATTTCATTTAATCCATTTTAGAGATGATAAAACTGAGGCTCAAGAGGTTTGTAATATGCTCAAGGTCATACAGCAAGTGGTGGTAGAGACAGTCTAAGAAAACTTAAATCTTTTCCATTTTATCATGCTTACATTAAACTCTAGTTAAAAATGTTCACTATAGTTATCTTCATTTCTGCTTTACAGTCTCATGTCTGAAATCCTGAGTAACAACATTAAAAGAAGATGAAAAAGATCCAATTACCAAAACTTATGAAAAGTAGAAAGCCGGATAAGGATGTTAAAGAAGTTAGAATATATTACCCTTAGCACTTCGGCTTTCCCCTGGGACAGTGCCATTTATAGAGGGGAGACTATACACTGAGAGTAGACCAACACAACTCTGCATTAACGGAGTAGTTTGTGTATCCTCTGCAAATGTTCAGTTGGTCTCCCCAAGAGGGTTTGACCACAACCTCCAGGGAGATTTGCAATTTTAAATTGACATGAAGGCTGGGCACAGTGGTACATGCCTATAATCTCAGCACTTTGGGAGGCCAAGGTGAGATGATCACTTGAGCCCAGGAGTTTCAGTCCAGCCTGGGCAATATAGTGAGACTTCAACTGTCCAAAAAAAATAAAAATAAAAATTCGCTGGGTATGGTGGTGCACACCTGTGGTCGTAGCTACTCGGGAGGCTGAGGCAGGAGGATTGCGTGAACCCAGGAGTTTGAGGCTACGGTGAGGTATGATTGCACCATTGCACTCCAGTCTGGGCAACAGAGCAAGACTCTCTTTTTTTTTTTTTTTGGAGACGGAATCTTGCTCTGTCGCCCAGGCTAGAGTGCGGTGGCACAATCTTGGCTCACTGCAAGCTCTGCCTCCCAGGTTCATGCCATTCTCCTGCCTCAGCCTCCCGAGTAGATGGGACCACAGGCGCCCGCCACCACGCCCGGCTAATTTTTTGTAGTTTTAGTAGAGATGGGGTTTCACCGTGTTAGCCAGGATGGTCTCAATCTCCTGACCTTGTGATCCGCCCGCCTCGGCCTCCCAAAGTGCTGGGATTACAGGCGTGAGCCACCGCGCCCGGCTGTCTCTAAAAAAATTTTAAAAATAAATTGACATTAAGACCACATACTGAACAAACACACACATTTATAACTTGATAAAGGTATACGTATATAAAATACAGAATAGAATACAACTGATGTTAACCTTGGAGTAACTTCCAAATCTGTAATAGGTTTCAAGTATGAGTTAGGAAATCAATAACAAAAAGATATAAAAAAAAAAAAAGAAAAAAATACGACCTATATAAAAGATACTTACGGATTCCAGTGTTCTTTGGAAATTTTGTACAAACTGGCAAACATAATTGGCAGAATTTTATCAATGTTCTCCTCAATCAAACTAAGAATATATTCGTTATTCCAGAAGTACAATGCCCTTTCTGCAACCTAAAAAAAGACATTTAGAGAAATGTCAAAACTAAAATAGGAAAGAAATACTAGTGTAAAGTAAAGGCTTCACTGAAAACATCATACCTGAAAATGAGAACTGGATACACACTTGGATATCTGCTTGAAAAGTGGCTCTTCAATTTTTTTGAACTGTGTTGGTTCAATGACATCTAAGATTTCTTCAATTTCTCCTAAAAACATCACCTAGGTTAAAAAAATTTTATTTTAAGAAACATGATAAATTATGTGAAACTAATATAGAAACCATACAAATGAGAAGGTTAATCTGCATAGTATACAATAAGCAAAAAAATGTCTGGATGGCAGAGTTTACTATAGCACAGGTCTTCTACCAAGTCTGTGTACATCTCCCGCTCTTTAGCAACAGCAATACAGCCAGCCCAAAGAAGCATGGTTTATAGCCCTGGGATTGACAAGTTCTAGTAAAATGCACTACATTTAGTGAACAAAACCCACCTCTTTCTGACTGCAGGTTTTTGGCCAAAATTTCAGCAGTCCTCTGATCACCTGCGAAAAAGAAAAAGTTTAGCATGAATTTAATAACAAAGCTAGTTAATCCCAGCGTATTTTCCATAGCTGTGATTATATCAACACTCATTCTGAAGTAAATCAATATTGCTTAATATATGTGTATAAATAGACTTTCTGCTCAGCTTTAGAATTTTATTAATTCAACTAACATTTACTGGGTGCCTATTATGTACCAGATACTGTTCTAGATGCTAGGGACACACTGATGTACAAGACAGATGAGGTCTCTGGTTTTCACAGAGCTTACGTTCTAATGGAGGAAGACCAATGCAAGTGATCAATTAAACACATAAATAAAACAATTTAATAGTATGTGCTACTTCTAAGAAAATAAAGGAAAATATAAGTTGGTGGGGTGAGAGAGGGAGGTTATTTTAGGGAGAAACCTTAAGGAACAGATGATTCCTGTTATTTAAACCATTATGAAACACAAAAAAAAACCCTGGACAGCTTCTCAGTCTATTTCATGGCTAGCACAATCTTTATAACCAGAATACAATGAAACAAAAGAGACTATTTTTATTTATTTATTTATTTTGAGATGGAGTCTCACTTTGTCGCCCAGGTTGGAGTGCAGTGGTGTGATCTTGACTCACTGCAACCTCGGCCTCCCAAGTTCAAGCAATTCTCTGCCTCAGCCTCTCGAGTAGCTGGGATTATAGGCGCCCACCACCACACCCAGCTAATTTTTGTATTTTTAGTAGAGACAGGTTTCACCATCTTGGCCAGGCTGGTCTTAAGCTCCTGACCTTGTGATCCACCAGCCTCGGCCTCCCAAAGTGGAGACTATTTATTTAAATAAACAAAGTTGAAAACACTTGCATTAAACTGAATCACAATAGAAGAATGCTATATGCCTAATTGTAACTTATTCCAGAAATGCCAGGATGGTTCCATTCATAGGTTAAAAGGGGAAATAAAAAAAAAAAACCCAGATCATTTTAAAAGATTTTCAAGTCATTTGACATTTTTAATTGACTATATATTCTGATAAAAAAATTTAGTAAGCTAGAACTAAAAGAATTTATCAGAAACCACCAGCAATCATTCTACATAATGATTTATTAGAGACAGGCTGTAAAACCATCTAGGCCTGGTGGTTTTGTGGAAATAGATCTTTGACAGCTTTTTAGGTTACTTTATAGTCTGTCTGGTCCAGTAATGTGGAACACTAATTCAAATTAAAATTGGGAAGGATACTGTTTTGGAGACAATCCAGTAAGATAACAATGTGATGAATAATGTTGGAAAGGAATACCAGAATTACACTTATTTGTGTAACTGTATATTTATATATCCCTTAAAACTTAAAAAAAAACCCTGCAAGTTACTAGAGTGAGTAGGAAAATTCAGTATGTGGCCACATTAAAAAATACATATATAAAAATCAATACCTTTATAAAACATCAGTAAAAATCAGATGAATAATAAAAAGGTACTTTTCACAACAACAACTATAATGTGCATAAAGAATAAATTTGCAAGAAATACTTAAGACATATGGAGAAAAGCATAAAACTTTACTGAAGATCATAGAAGACTACAAATACAGTTATATGTCATTTAATGATGGGGATACGTTCTAAGAAATGTGTCATTAGGCAACTTCATCATTTAAATGTCACAGGGTGTACTTAAACCTAGATGGTATGGCCTACTACACACCTAGGCTGTATGGTGTAGCCTTTTGCTCCTAGGCTACAAACCTGTACAGGATGTTCTTGTACTGAATACCGTAGGCACTGTAGGCAGTTGTAACAATAGTATTTGTGTATCTAAACACGAAAGGTACAGTAAAAATATAGCATTATAATCTTATGGGATCACCATTTTTCTTTCTCTTGGAATCACATTTCTCTCTCTCTCTCTCTCTCTCAACATTTCTCTCTCTTTTTGATGAGGCCTCACTCTGTTGCCTAGGCTGGAGTGTAGTGACATGATCAGAGGTCATTGTAACCTTGAACTCCTAGGCTTATTGTAACCTTGAACTCCTAGGCTTAAATGATCCTCCTGCCTCAGCCTCCCAAGTAGCTGGGACTACGGGTGTATGCCACCACATCTGGCTAATTTTAATTTTTTACTTTTTGTAGAAACGAGGTCTTGCTCTGTTGCCCAGGCTGGTCTTAAAGTCCTGGCTTCAACCAATCCTCCTACCTTGGCCTCCCAAAGTGCTGGGATTACAGACATGAGCAACCATGCCCAGTTCCATTTTTATTTTTTAAGAGACAGTCCAGACTTGCATTGTCGGCCAGGCTGGGGTGCACTGGTGTGATCACAGTTCACTGCAACCCCCTAGGCTCAAGAGATCCCCCTACCCCAGCCTCCCAAGTAGCTGGGATTACAGTCCTGAGCCACCACGCCTGTCTGGGACTGACATTTTATATGTAGCCTGTTATTTTTATTTATTTATTTATTTTTGAGACAGAGTCTCGCTCTGTCACCCAGGCTGGAGTGCAGTGGCACGATCTCGGCTCACTGCAACCTCTGCCTCCCGGGTTCATGCTATTCTCCTGCCTCAGCCTCCTGAGTAGCTGGGACTACAGGCGCCCGCCACCAGGCTCAGCTAATTTTTTGTATTTTTAGTAGAGACGGGGTTTCACTGTGTTAGCCAGGATGGTCTCGATCTCCTGACCTCGTGATCTACCCGCCTCGGCCTCTCAAAGTGCTAGGATTACAGGCTTGAGCCACAGCGCCCGGCCCGTAGCCTGTTATTAAACGAAATGTCATTATGCAGCACATGACTGTAAATAAGTGAGGTGGTTCAATATTGTGCAGAGATATTTTTCCTGTACTTAATTTATAAGTAAATTTAATATAATTTCAATCAAATGCCAATTGAATTATTTTTTGGAACTAGAAACATTTATTCTAAAATCCATAAATATAAGCAAATAAGAATTGTTTTTTTGGTGGGGGGAGTTAATGGAACAGAACCTGTATTATGGATATCAGCAACTAAAACAAGATTATATTGGCAAAGAAATGGAGAGAAAAGATATATATGAGTATCTAGATATACTCATGTATATATGGATTTTAATATATGACAAAGGTGGCCTTTCAGTTCCATGGGAAACAGTGGTGGTACTGGGACAGGTAGCTCACTATTTAGAAAGGAAAAATGTAGCAGGCTCCTTTGGTTGGCAGACTTCTATGATGATCTCATGAGCTTGTTAACTGTCCTCACACCCTTGTGTAATCCCCTCTCCTTAAGTGTGAGCTGTCCTAGTGACTTGCTTCTAACGAACAGACTGTGGCAAAAGTGAAAGAATGTCACTTCATGAGTAAGATACAAAAGATTGTGACTTCTGTCTTACTAGTAGACTCGCTGTCTTGGCTTTGATGAAGTAAGGTGCCATGCTGGAGAAGCCTGGGTGACAAGGATCTGAGGGTGGGCTCTGGCCAACAGCCAGCCAGGAACTGAGGCTCTCAGTCCAACATAACTTGACAAACTGAATTCTGCCAACATACATGTGAACTTAGAAGCAGATCCTTCCCCATCTGACACTTTATATGAGACTCAACTTCTGGCCAACACTCCAACTGCAGCTTTGTAAGAGACCCTGAGCAGAGGGCCCACCTAAGCCATGACCAGATTCTGGATTCACAGCAACTAAGGCAACAAATGCTTGTCATTTTTCCTCCCAATGGAATGGTATTTTCCCAAAATCTTGCAGATCAGTTACAGCAAACAGAACTATGACCATCAAGGAAAACTGTCACTCTTGGCTTCTTTTTGACCACAGCAGCTACATGGAAGCAGCTGCAGCTTTGATAAAGGCCATAAATGCTTGCTATTTTAAGCCAATAAATTTTGTGATCATTTGATATGCGTAATTGAAAATGAATGCAGGCCAGGCATGGTGGCTCAGGCCTTTAATCCCAGCACTTTGGGAGGCCAAGGCAGGCTTGGGCCCAAGAGATCAATACCAGCCTGGGCATCATGGTGAAACCCCATCTCATCTTTACCAAAAATACAAAAAAATTAGCTGGGCATGGTGGTGCATGCCTGTAGTCCCAGCTACTTGGGAGGCTAAGGCAGGAGGATCACCTGAGCCTGGGAGGTCAGGGCTGCCGTCAGCCACAATCGTACTACTGCACTCCATCCTGGGTGATGTGGTGAGATCCTGTCTGAAAAAAAAAAAAACCCAAAACACAAACAAACAAACCCAAATGTAGTTCCTTACCCTCATCATACACAAATTTCAATGTCGGGCAGTATTGAATAACGAACACTGGGTTGACTAGTGGCCCCCAAAAAGATGTCAATGTGGGCCAGGTGCAGTGGCTTACAACTGTAATCCTAGCACTTTGGAAGGCCAAGGAAGGCACACTGCCTGATCTTAGGAGTTTGAGACCAGCCTGGGCAACATGATGAAACTCCATCTCTACTAAAAATACAAAAAAAAACCTAGCCGGGCGTGGTATCGGGCGCCTGTTATCTCAGCTACTCAGGAGGCTAAGGAACAAGAATTGCGTGAACCCAGGAGGTGGAGGTTGCAGTGAGCCGAGATGGTGCCACTGACTGCACTCCAGCCTGGGCAACAGAGTGAGTCTCTGTCTCAAAAAAATAAATAAAATATAAAATAAAATAAAAATAAAATAATAAAATAAAATATAAAATAAAATAAAAAAGAAAAATAAAAAAATTATTTTGGGGCTCAAGTTAGATTTTCTTGGAATAAGAACGGTGTTTTGTTTTGTTTTGCTTGTTTTATAAAAATGCAGCTTTGAGTGGAAGGAAAGGTTTACACTGCCAAAAAAATAAAAGTTTTGAAAGTCATGCCGACTCTTCATTTTTTTCCTCTTTACATGGAAACTTAGCTGTAATGAATATTTAGTTAATTCTTCCACTCTGCACTTTTTTCTTTTTAGACGGAGTCTCACTCTGTTGCCCAGGCTGGAGTGCAGTGCTGTGATCTCGGCTCACTGCAACCTCTGCCCTCCTGGGTTCAAGCCATTCTCCTGCCTCAAGCAATTCTGCCTCAGTCTCCCAAGTAGCTGGGATTACAGGTGCCCGCCATCACGCCCGGCTAATTTTTGTATTTTTAGTAGGGATGGGGTTTCATCATGTTGGCCAGGCTGGTCTTGAACTCCTGATCTCAGGTGATCTGCCTGCCTCAGCCTCCCAAAGTGCTGGGATTACAGGCTTGAGTAATAAACTAACAAAAGCTCTGAGCTACTTATAATTTGTAGAAAGCTTTGATAGGAATGCCTGCTTTCCAGAAAATTAGTATTAAGGCTTAAACCCAAGTAATATGGCCGTAATTTTGGTGCTGGAATGGCCTATGTTAGAAATTGCAAGATCTCTATATCGAGAGATCTTTATGAGTTGGAAAATATTTTCCTTTCTTAACCTGGGTATTTATCTTACTCTCTCTCCTCATCCTGCTCCTATTTTCATTAACCCAACTCAGCCAAACCAGATAAAAGCTGAATAACTGGCCATCATCCCTCTCCCTAATCGTCAAGGTTTTTTGTTTTTTTGTTTTTTTTTTTGTGTCATCTCGGCTCACTGTAACCTCCGCCTCCAGGGTTCAAGTGATTCTTGTGCCTCGGCCTCCCTAGTAGCTGAGATTACAGGCACACGCCACCATGCCCAGCTAATTTTTTTTTTTTTTTTTTAAGTAGAAATGGGGTTTCACCATGTTGATCAGGCTGATCTTGAACTCCTGACCTGAGGTGATCCGCCTGCCTCGGCCTCCCAAAGTGCTGGGATTACAGGCATGAACCACCATGCCCAGCCTCTATCTTCCATTCTTTAAAAATAAATCACCTGTCTTCCTTATCCACCCCAAATTAATTAAATAAAATTTTATTTGTATACTATTTACCAAGCATGAACCATGACTTTTCAATATGTGTTATTATGGGTTTTCTTTTTCTTAATTCTAATGGGAGTTATCATAGATTTGTATTAAGGTTTTACTTTTTTCTTTTTTTTTTTGAAGACAGAGTCTCACTCTGTTGCCCAGGCTGGAGTGCACTGGTATGAGCTCAGATCACTGCAACCTACGCCTCCTGGATTCAAGCAATTCTTGTGCCCTTGCCATCTGAGTAGCTGGGACCACAGGCCTGTGCCACCATGCCCAGCTAATTTTTGTATTTTAACTAGAGACAGGGTTTCACCATGTTGGCCAGGCTGGTCTCAAACTCCTGGCCTCAAGTTATCTGCCTGCCTCAGCCTCCCAAAGTGCTGGGATTACAGTTGTGAGCCACTGCACACCTGGGAATCAACTTCAGAGGTTTATGTGGTTTCATGTACAAATATATGGTTTCTAATTCTCCTGAATTGTCTTCAAAAACTGTTTACAGCTGTTTCTAGAAAAGACTGTAAATCTAAAAGTCAAAAAACTAATAAAAATTAAGGAGTGGAAAAATGTCTTTTGTTCCATTACACAAAGTTCAAGTGAAAGGGAGAATACTAAGTATATGATTTTTTCAAGCATCCCTACGGATAGCCTGAGAAGGTTCATAATATAGTAAAAATACATATATATTTTAGTTTTTCAAACCCTTTGCTATTTACTAAATATTTATTAGGTTGCTGCTAAAGTGATTGTGGTTTTTGCCATTAAAAGTAATGGCAAAAGCCGCAATCACTTTTGTACCAACCTAATACTAGGTAAATATTTAGACTGAACATGCCTAGAAAGCATTCTCTCAAAATACTTACTTCACCAAGGTTAAAATGTTTTCTATGCTTTTATACTTTTCTGTTTCACCCTACTTCATCTTTTGTTTTTCTTGAATCCTCAGTAAATTTTCATAACTAATTATGTTTTCACTCTCTCCTGAATTTTCATTCTAGAGGCAAATAACAGTAGAATTCAAAGCCTAAGTTGCCTTGCTGGTTCATAAACTACTTTTATTCCAAGATTACATCTTATATCTTAATCACCAAAAGCAAGGAAATGTTTTCTATCCCTATCAAGTGGTTTATTGTTAATGAGTGGCAAAAATTCTATTATTAAAAACAAAACAAAATTCAAGGGAGTAGTAGTTTTGGGACCCTCGAAGTATGCTTTAATTCCAAAAGGTGAATGAAGATTTAAAAGATTATTGGTGAAGACAGTATGCATATAAAATTTCACTGTGGTCATCTGATCCTATCATCGTACATCTTAACTACTACATATTAATAGTAGTCTATATTTCGGTTATTCAAGACATAACTCACGAGAACTCTCCCCTCCTAACCCCTTCTTTTAATGTAGATTAATCTCACATTTCTTCTTCTAAATGATTTTAGCTTAACGTACATTATTCTACTTAATAACTATAAAGGCTATAAAACGAAAGCTACAATGAAATGCTATTAATGCAGACCAAAAACATGAAAATAAATAGAACACTTACTGGCTCTGTTAGTGTTGTATCTTTCTCCAGGAACTGTACAACACAATATGCTAGCTAAAAGGTAAGGGACAGTTTATAAATATTAGTGAGATAACATTTAATAATGTAGGATTTTTATATTTAGCCAATATTTTTTAGACTACCTCATTTTGATAAATTATTCCAATATATAAAAATATACTCACAACTGTGAATGAAATTGTGAAATACCTCAATCGTGAAACTATACTCACAATTGTGTAACTTTTTAGCCTTGAAAGTAACTTCAAGTTTAAAAAACATTTTTAGTAGTAATTTCTGACTATAAAGTTAACTGAAATAAGACTAGAGCTAACAATTTAGTTTTTCAGCATGTTTCTACATGTACACCTATGCTGATATATTATTCTCTAAATATTAATAGAAGAGACCAAAATCTCTCTAACTAGGTCTAGGTTATTGCAGCTGGAAGAAACATTCTGTAGATATGTGGGATTTATTCAAAGTCACATAATTAGGTCAAGACCTGGACTATAATATGAGGAAAGTGTGTATCTTAAACTGTAAGTGTAGATATAGAAATTAAATAATTGGTCTTACTTAACAACTAAATACTTTAAAATAAGAAAAATTTGCTTTGGGTAATTTTGTAAGCAAATTGCTTAATTATACTTAAAACTGTCATCTCAGTATTTCTCAATTTCTCTGCCTTTATATTGGCCTTTGAAATAATATTCATTTCATCTGAAATGTTTCTGAAACTTACCTGAGCATGAAACAAAGCTAATCCTTTTGCAGTATGCATAGGAATAAGAACCTTCATTAGAAATTGTTTATGTTCTGCTTTCAGTGGCAATGCAAAGCCATTGATAATACTGGAGGGAAAAAAAGGCAGGGGAAGGGTTAAGTAGTTACTACTTTGTTTCTAAAAGCTGTCATATCCATGAGTACATAAGGAACAGTGCTATGCTTCAATCCTGGTGTTGTATGACTGCTCATCTTCAAACTACTTTAGGAAGACTATTACTATGAAGTCTGTTCCTCTAAGTCATTTGATGATTCCAAAAGAAAATTAGGACTGTCAATTAATTCCCAAGTAATTTCTATCTTCATTTTCTATCAAACCTGTCACTTTATGCATTGTTGCTTTTATTTTTGCCCCCAAAGCTCCAGGAGAGTCAGTACCACAATATTGTTAGAATGTTCAATATTTTTCTGAAGTAAATGGGTAATTTTTCTTACTTTGTTGGATAACGTGAAAGAAGTAGTTCTCTCCACAATCATTTTCTACTATTAATAAAGGAAACTAAAATCATTGTCTAAATAGTAACAGAAGGGTCTAAAATTCTCTTAATACTAATACGTAGTGAATAAGGAAGGCAAAGTGTTATGGCAAAAGGTAATAAGAATTCAGCTGAGGCTGGGCATGGTGGCTCACGCCTGTAATCCCAGCACTGTGGGAGGCCGAAGGGGGTGGATTGCCTGAGGTCAGGAGTTCAAGACCAGCCTGGCCAACACGGTGAAACCCCATCGCTACTAAAAATAAAAATTAAAAAATTCGTTGGGTGTGGTGGCAGGCACCTGTAATCCCAGCTACTCAGGAGGCTGAGGCTGGGGAATCTCTTGAACCCGGGAGGCAGAGGTTGCAGTGAGCCGAGAACGCGCCATTGCACTCCAGCCTGGGCAACAAGAGCGAAACTCCGTCTCAAAAAAAAAAAAAAGACTTCAGTTGAGAAACTATGTGTTCTACATTTAAACTCTAAAATATGACATAATTTCTCCAACCCCAGCTAAGATTTTAATACATAAAACATTCACTTACTTAATTCTTAAAAAGAACAAAAAAACCTGACCTACCTTCCTAATATTTCAAGAAGTTCAGCAACACCATTGAAATGTTCTGTTTCATATATAAACCTGAATTTAAAATAAAGACAAGATGTAATCAAAATCAAACTTCAGAAAACTAAGAGAAACAGGCAGGAGGGTGAAGAAATCAATCCAAAGGACAGCTATTAGAAACACACAAGCATGTTTTGGGTCTTATAAGCAGTTTTGCCCCAAACAGTTAATTCATATCAATCTTAAAAAAGAAGATGTTTCCTACTGAACTACATATGCCTTTGCCAAAACTCGCCATATGTGAAGATAACAGATTGTCATTTCACCTGGAATATTCAACTTAATAATTAATAAGAAAGATAAGTTTCCTCAAAGAAATACTTTTTAAAATAAGAAACCTCTAATTATAGGGAAATCCAAGAGAAAAAGACCCATATGTAATAAAGCCATTTTTAATCAGAATTTCTTTACACCTCTAACTATATAGGCTGCATAGCTTTCCAAGATTAGGGCTGCCTTTAAAGCAGGGAGACATAAATATAATAGGGCAGATATTTGAAATGGGCTTAGGAAGTGATGACAGAGAACTGGAGAAAGATATTCACTCTAGAGGAGGCAGATATTACTCATCTCTAATTGTTGCAATGTGGGAATAGTAACCAAATTTTGCCAGATCTTCAATTAATTAAACAAACCAAACCTTGAATGTGGGTGTTGTTATGAAATCTCCTGATCTGAAGCAACTACTTAACAGATTAATATTTATAAAGTACACTTGGCCCTGTATCCGCAGGTTTCATTATCTGTGCATTCAACCAACTACAGATCAAAAATATTTTTGAAAAATAAATACAAATTTAAAATATAGAATAACATCTATTTGCACAGCATTCACACTGTATTAAGTATTGTAAGTAATCTAGAAATAAAGTATACAGGAGGATGTGTGGACGTTATATGCAAATACTGTGCCATTTTATATAAGGGACTTTGGATTCTGCTATTAGCAGGGGCCCTGGAATCAATCCTCCCCAGATACTGAGGGATGACTACAAGCAAATGATAGGCCCCATATAAGAGGACTGCTTGAGTTCAGGAGTTCAAGACCAGCCTGGGCAACATACATAGTATGTTACATATATACTACGTTACATATATATGTTACACATATATACTATGTTACATATATATGTTACATATATATACTACGTACATACAGTACATAGACCTTGTCTCTACTAAAAGTCAAAAAAATTACCCAGGCGTGGTGGTGCACACCTGTAGTCTCACTACTTGGCAGGCTGAGAGAGGAAGATTGCTTGAGTCTGGGAGATGGGGGCTACAATGAGCTATGTTCTCACCACTGCACTCCAGCCTGGATGACAGAGTGAGACCCTGTCTCAAAAAAACAAATAAAAATAAAAGAACTTGAATACAAGAAGATATGTAGGAGGAAAAGGTGCAATATACAATAAATGATTAATTTACCTGAGGAAAATGTTGTTAATTTGTTTTCTGATGAATGCTCTTAATCCAAGAAATTTCCCATAAATTCGGTGCAGAACAGTCTTCAGGAAGTCACGTTCTCTGGGATCTTCACTATCAAAAAGCTCCAGGAGCTTTAAAAGAAACCTGAGAAATTACTTTTAAAAAATAATCGAGCTAAAGCTTTATTCTAATTTTGATCTTAAAGATTATCCATGACATCTTTTAAAAATTTTTTAGAGTTCTTCCTTACCACACTGACTTTATTCTTGCTAAGTAATGAAGGTGAGGAAAAGCTTAGGAAATATTTCTTCTCACTTATTTCACTTCAAAATATGACATTTACAATAAATATAAATATTTCAAAAAGTGGATTTTTCTTTACCTTCCCACTGATTTTAAAATTCAATCCTACTCTTGAATACTAAAGAGGCTCACAATTTTGGAGTGTTAAAATTTGGGATTTTTAATGCTTTTTGATCGTCAAAACTACATAGAAAATCGTTTAAGTTTTTAGATTGCAAGTCATCAAATAGTCTTAAAAAGATCCATGTGTAAATGTATATTTCTAGTTTACTAGAAAGATGTACATATACTAAGACTTCTTTTTGTGAATTTACAATAAATTCAAGACAGTTACCATGCAGACATTTGAAAAATTAACATTCAGTTATTAGAATAAAATATTGGCAGATACATACTAATAGAGTAGAAATCATATATAAAATAACACTGGACTAAAAGATGAGGCCAAATTTTTTTTTTTTTTTTTTTAAGACAGTCTTGCTCTGTAGCCTAGACTGGAGGGTAGTGATGCAATCACAACTCACTGCAGCCTCGACCTCCTGGGGTCAGAAGATCCTCCTGCCTCAGCCTCCCAACTAGCTGGGACTACAGGCACATGCCACCACACCCAGCTAATTTATATATTTTTTGGTAGAGACGGGGTTTCACCATGTTGCCCAGGCTGGTCTCAAACTCCTGAGTTCAAGCGATCCACCCTCCTCGGTGTCCCAAAGTGCCAGGATTATAGGCGTGAGCCACTATGCCCAGCCCATAGATTTTTCAGCTTAGCAAATAGCTGAAAAATTTTAAACCAGTTCCACAGTCAGCACTCTCCTATACCTCAATTGGCCCAATCAGTGTACTCCTATATTCTGCACAACTTTTCAGCAAAACCTGAGAGAAGAGACTTTAGAAAAAGTTAAAGTCAAAATCTCAAATTTCCATTTAAAATGGTAAAGAAACTTAATTTCTTCTGTCAAAAAAAACACTGTATTTTAAACATTGGATTTTCTTAGAAAAATATAAAATACTCTCTCTAGAGTACAAGTATCTGTAAAGCTGTCAAGGAATTTTATGTTCTGAACTTTCGTGTTTATAATTACAATAAAGATAGCAAGCTCTGAACCTCATCAGAAGTTCTTATTCCATTTTGTTTTGAATTATATACAATTGCTAACACATGCATCTGAAACCAGAGTGGATGACTTAAATCATATTTATATCTCCCAAAACAACTGCCATACTTATAGTTTCCATTCTTTGTTTGCTAGGCTGTTAAGGCCCTCATGAGACTCCAGCAAAAAATATCTACGGAGTATGAGAATTTTTGTTAATATATCTAATAAGTTCACATCAAATTATTCTAATTAAAAATGGCAGCCGGGCAAAGTGGCTCTCAACTGTAATCCCAGCACTTTGGGAGGCCAAGGCAGGCGGATCACTTGAGGTCAGGGATTTGATACCGGCCTGGCCAACACAGTAAAACCCTGTCTCTACTAAAAGTACAAACAAAAATTAGCCAGGCATGTCGGCACATTTGCAGTCCCAGCTACTTGGGAGGCTGATCCAGGAGAATCGCTTGAACCTGGGAGGCCGAGGTTGCAGTGAGCCAAGATCCAGCCACTGCACTCCAGCCTGGGCAACAAGAGCAAAACAGCCATATAAACTGCTAAAAGCAATTACTGGGCCCTAGCTTCTCAGATAATTCAAGCATTTAAAGTAGAAGGTAGAAAACAGATCCTGCCCCACCAGTTTTCTTTTTGCTCCCCTCACACCACAAAATAATACAGCAGCTTAAATACCTCAAGCTCTAGACTAACAAAGCACTAAGGCAATTGTTCCCCTCAACCTGTTACTGTATTAAATACAATTTCATATGGCATTACTAGAGCTCCCTAATGTATCCCACACAAGAGCTGCACAAGGAAATAAACAGGCATTCATTTGCAATTACCAAAATAACATAACTCCATTTAATGTAATTTTTAGTCATGATTAAAATGTATATGTTACTGTTAATACACACCTAATATTTCTTTATAGTTTATGAAGAGCTACTTCAATGGTTGAAGGAAATATTTTAGGCTGACAATGTTCTTCATTTATCAATCCTTCACAGCAACAGGTCAGAATACTTTATATGAGGTCAAGGGTAGTTATGAATGACCAAAGATCAGCTCTAAATATACCAAACTCACATTAGTAGAATTTTTATCATAGGGCACATACAAAGCGGTCTGAAGGGTAGGAAAGGTCCTTGCAATGATTTTAATCCTGGCCTCAGCATCAAATTCCTAAAGAGGCCTGCATACTCAGGCCTAGAAATGCCTAGAAAGGTTTGGTCTACTTCACAATTTTCTTTGGGGCCAGCCAATTCCATATAGTTAAAAAGGGGCCTTTGGCCAGTGCAGTGGCTCACACCTGTAATCCTAGCTCTTTAGGAGGCTGAGGTGGGAGGATCCCTTGAGGCCAGGAGTTCAAGACCAGCCTGGCCAATGTGGTGAAACCCCGTCTCTACTAGAAATAGAAAAAAAAAATCAGCCGGGCATGGTGGCGTGTGCCTGTAGTCCCAGCTACTTGGGAGGCTGAGGCAGGAGAATCGCTTGAACCCAGGAGGCGGAGGATGAAGTGAGCTGAGGTTGCACCACTGTGCTCCAGTCTGGGCAGCAGAACAAGACTCCCTCTCAAAAAAAAAAGAGGCCTTTAAATTTTTGAAAAGGTTTTGAAAATGAATATATTCTTAGAAATTGTGAATATGTAGGTTCCAAAAATAACAGCTAATAAGCAGTTTATAAAAAAAAAAGAAGGCATCACAATTAATTCTACCTCCTTACGTTCTTAATGATTCCACTTTATCTGTGGTTTAGGAATTGGGTGGTGGGGCTTAGGTGCAAAGAGGAAAGAAAAAGGAAAAGGTAATTGATACTTAGGAAAGGAGCCTAAAGCCCAAATTCCTCACAATGATTCTACTCCTTTTTTCCCCCGTCATTTCAAAGTCCCAATGCTTAAAATATATGTCAAGTTCAAAGACTTACAAATGTAAAACAAAGATTTGCCCATGGATTGAATGGTCATACCACATTTTCTCAGATACTGCAGAAAGGCTTGTTTTTCTGGTATTTATAAAATAACTATGATAATTTAGGATTAAATAGGATAATTTGATTGACTTCATTAGACTCTCACCCTTGATAAAAATACTCTTGTACTCTCAGAGCTAACTTCACTTTTATTCTAATGGTTTGGCAGTAATATTAAGTGCTGTCAAATTAAACCATTAAAGTTTTGAAAGACTACACTATTTTAATAATAAGTTAATAAATCATTGCTAAGATGAATATATGAGAATCTAAGACAAAAGAGTTCCTTACCTGTTGTACGAATTTCTGATCAATGTATCGTTTTGCAATGCTAGGCTGGAAATCAGGGCTCTCCAAAAATCTCAAGAAGAATTCATATACCAACTATGAGAGAAAGTCAAATAAAGGCTAAGATGATGGCTACAGAATATTACCCTAAATAATCACTTCATATTAAAAACACACCTTTTCTTACCAACTTAGTGGGGAGATTTCAGATCTCATTATAAAATGTAATGAGTTGATAAAAAAAATTTTTTTTAAAAATTCACACCTGTACTCCCAACACACTTTAGGAAGCTGAGGTGGGAGAATCCCTTGAGCCCAGGAGTTTGAGGCCACCCTGGACAACATGGTGAGACCGCTGTCTATACAAATAATCAAAAAATTAGCCAGGCATGGTGGCGTATGTCTGTTGTCCCAGCTACTGGGAGGCTGAGGTAGGAAGACTGCTTGAGTCTGGAGGTCAAGGCTGCAGTTAGCCGTGACTGTGCCGTACCACTGCACTCCAGCCTGGGCAACAGAGTGAGACTCTGTCTGAAAAATAAATAAATAAATAAACAAACAAACCTAGAAACTATATATTCACCATTTGGTTTCCTAAGCTGATAAACTTTGAGATTTATTTATTGCTTTACATAACTTGATGCAAAACGTTAAATTACAGGAGCTAGAAAATAAGGACAATGCCTATAAAATTAAATATTTCTTAATTAAATATATTCCTATTTTGTAATCCATACTCACTAGGAAGATGTTCCTTCCCAGTGGACTACTACCTACCTCAATTTAATCACTACAGAGTTTCTTAAATGCAGAGTCAACAACCTCCAGATAAAACAGGCAGTGTATCATTAATTTTTAAAAAGAAAGGAAAAGAAAAACTTCTGGTCTTTCTATAAAACTACAGTGGGAAAACTAATTAAATCAAAACCAGGCATATCCTATCCACACTTGAGAAATAATGAACCAAATTACGTAAGTACAGGGCTAGGGAAGAAATGTCTGTGTACCAACCACAGCAAATAAACTAGAAGTCATAGCAGGCCTTCTATAAAAGTGCCAAGCAACCTACAAGTAATAGCAAATGTTCACTTGCTACCACAAATCAGAATTAAATATTTGGTTCAGCTTGTCACTATCATACCTGCTTTCAAGGAGAAAGGCAAATATGACTAAAGTTTTTTTTTATTGTAACCTAATAGGTATAAAAAGCAGAAACTTAGCCCAAAATGTATCTTATTAGCTATTAAACAATACTATATCAATTTAACACCCTAAAAATAAAAAAGGAGGATTCTATCCCAAAGCAAAAACAGTCATTCAATGAACATTTAGGTAGCCAGTTAGGTTGATGTAGAAGTTAGAAAAGAAAAAGGGAAAAGAAAGATTGCTACATTAAATTAATAGACCTTAGAGCAAACAAAAGCACTACCAGATCTAGGCCTTATCATTCACCAAGTAACAACACATTTTTACTACTGTGAGTTCAGTAACAGTCTACAGCTAACAAAAGTTTGGGGATCTGAGCAAATACAATTTTGCTTGATGTATCTCTGCCCAACTGTGGAAAAGGAGTGATGCTTATCTGGTCTAATGTTACCTAACATTTTGTGTTTATCATAAATTAAGGATATAACAAGAAATAAAACTTGATAGCAATTTAAGTTTTTATTCATAGATAATTTTCTAATCAAACAACAATAGAGATAAAAGATAATTTTGCTTTGGGGTATACACGTGCAAAAAGATATACAAAACTGATCACAGAGCGCTCTGAAAAGTCAGCACAGTCTCATGGACTGCTATGCAGTTTCATTAACGGCACAACTTAATTCATTCAGTGCCTATTTTCATGTCCAGTACTGGGCTATGTATAGTATGAACAGACATTAGGGATGGTATGGCTCAAAAAGCCCATTCACTACACAAAAATTATATTATGTGGCACAGACTATAAGTGCAGGAGCTATTTAGAAAAGGGCTGTATCACTGTGGAATAGGTAGGAAAAGCTTTAAGGAGGATATGCAACTTGAGCCCTGCATTTGTTTTGATTCTAGATCCTTTGTTTTGATTCTGGATCCTCAGGAAGAGGATGGCTTTTATTTTATAGAAATGTAGCAGCATGTCTTGATTTAAAAATATATATATTTATTTATTTTTAGAGACAGAGTTTCACCACGTTGCCCAGGCTGGTCTCGAACTCCCAGGCTCAAGCTATGCACCCGCCTCAGCATCCTAACGTGCTGGTAAGGTGTAAGCCACCATGCCTGGCTTTTTTTTTTTTTTTTTTTTTTTTAAGCAGCATGTCTTGAGATGAAGAGAATGCAGAGTATAGGTTGATGGTATGGAATTATAGACTCCAAATCTTTATGCAAATCCCTGGAGATTCCACCATAAGGTGGGATCAGGTTAAACATTAAACATGAGCCAAATGTGGCATGCATTAGCCTATTTACTCTCCCTTCTTAAGATCTTCATCAGAAATATAGGGTTTAAGGCTTAATAGTTTTCAGAGTAATAGCCTGTCCTATGGGAGACTTTTATGACATCAAGCTACAAATCAGACTGAATTCTCTAATTCTCTCAAACTGAATTCTCTAAACCATATATATAATTGAACCATATATATAATTGAAACCTGTGCCATTCACAAATACCACATATAAATTCTTTCATAGTTTTCATCTACATCATTTACCTGACACAGTAAACATTAGGTGATCAGTCAAAATTAGCAGCAAAATGCTGTTATGCCGCCAACTTAGCACCACTAAAGAGATGATGACAAAAAGTTACTTAAATACATATTGAGGTCCGGGTGCAGTGGCTCACACCTGTAATCCCAGCACTTTGGGAGCCTGAGGCGGGTGGATCACCTGAGGTCGGGAGTTCCAGACCAGCCTGGCCAACATGCAGAAATCCCGTCTCTACTAAAAATACAAAATTAGCCAGACATGGTGGTGCATGCCTGTAATCCCAGCTACTTGGGAGGCTGAGGCAGGAGAATTGCTTGAACCTGAGAGGCAGAGGTTGCAGTGAGCCGAGATTACTCCATTGCATTCCAGCCTGGGCAACAAGAGCAAAACTCCATCTCAGAAAAATAAATAAATAAAAATGATGAATAGTTATCCCAAATAGAGGTAGAAGAAACACTAGTGATCTACAGAGCTGGAAATCTTCAAAATGGAATAATTGAGATTATGCTTCTATAAAATTTATCCTGTCCCAGTGTCACTCTCTATTTACTCCATCCTACATTTTAAAAAATGTATCACACCGTAACATAGAATATATGCCAATTATTTTATTATTATTTTGTTCTTCTCTGCTAGGATGTAAGGGATTTTGCTTAGTTCATTACTTTACCCTCAATGTTTACAAAAATGCTTGACACACAATAGATGCTTACTGAATGAATGAAAATCACATTTGTTAAGAAGGTGTGTTTCTACGTAGTGACTGAAGTTTTTCTATGGTCTTGTTTTCTTTCTTTTTTTTTTTTGAGACAGAGTCTTGCTTTGTCGCCCAGGCTGGAGTGCAATGGCGCAATGTCGGCTCACTGCAACCTCTGCCTCCTGGGTTCAAGCCATTCTCCTGCCTCAGCCTCCTGAGTAGCTGGGATTAGAGGCGTGTGCCACCATGCCTGGCTAATTTTTGTATTCTTAGTAGAGACGGGGTTTCACCATGTTGTTCAGGCTGGTCTCGAACTCCTGACCTCATGATCCTTCTGACCTCATGATCCACCTGCCTCAGCCTCCCAAAGTGCTGGGATTACTGGGATTGCTGGGATTACAAGTGGGCGTGAGCCACTGCGCCCAGCCTTCTATGGTCTTCTATACAAATAACTTGCTCCAAGAATCTAAGAAACAGTGTTGCAAAGAAAAACAGGCACTTCACCAGTGAATTCAGTTCACTAATAAAATGACAAACTTCAACTATGTTCAATGTATGGCTAGTCCTTCTACTTCTGTACACCAAAAATACCCTAAAAAGTGAAAGATAACTAAAAAGTATAGGGAATTGAGGAGTGTAATCTTACTATTCTACTGAGTTCTGACCATGTCTTTCCTAAGGGAGTTAACATAAAACATAGAATTCTGGTCTTCACCATTAAAAAGACTTGGGAGAAGTTCCAACAGAAAACAGCATAGATGATTAAAGTATCTGAAAAATAAGACCTATACAAAAAGCTAAAGGAATAGAAATGTTTGGGTCAGAGAGGCAAAGACTCAGAAGCAAACTTTAAAGACCTACAAGTACCTAAGAGGCTGCTTTCAAGTAATACAGGTGACCAATGTTTTCCAACCTCTATTAAGAGGAAACGTAAATAAGGTTTTTAATTGATTTAATATATAAAAGAATTCATATAAAAATTAATGCATAGTCAACTATATGAGATATTATATATTAAGCACCCAAAAAGAACATTGCCTGGGATGAGGTAAACATTAACAAAATCTTAGTTTTTTAAGAATCTGTTTTTCTCTGTAATCCTTGTGAAAACACAGATTGTGCATAAACCTTGAATAGTTTAAATACAGGGAGCCTAGGTTTTTTCCCTCTGCTCTTTTATCCATAAGAACTAAAAAGATAATAACTATTCACAATGAAAAAGGCCAAAGCAATGAAAGTATTTCTCAACCTTATATAAAAGATATTCCTTTTTATTTTTGTGGCTATAAAGTTAGTGCATTAGGCTATGATTCCTACCATTTTGGATTCTTAGCCCATGAAAATATTTAAAATATAGTATATGGCCAAGAGTTATTTGAATGTAAAGGTGTACACTGTAATATATGTATGTTGCTAGTTTAAATTTCTAATTATATTGCCCAGAGAGAAAAGCCTTCTAATCCCTAAAATACAACTTATTCCTAAAAAGGTCTATGTTCTAGGCACTATCCTACATAATTAAATCTTAATTATCTGTGCCACTAAAGTAATTAATAAAAGAAAGTGAAAATACACAATCTGCCTGTATTCCAGGCTAGTACAGCAGCCAAGTGTCCTAATTATCTAAAAGTGCAGAAAATTAATATATTGTTAGTCTTCAATAAATAGAAAGCAATAATACTTAGGAAAGAAATGAGAAAATAATTTAAAACTGTTGTACATTAAGTTACCATGTAATACTACACTTAATAAATTAGAAGATACAACCTATCCCCTAATACTGAAATGACCTTCCTTGTGGTCCTTTCTTCTATCTCTTTTTATTCCATTATTCCATTGCTCATTAGTATTTCCATTACAGTGTAAGAATAAGTAAAAACAGATAAACTTTTATTAGCACATGTTTAGAAAATTCATGAAAAGGGTGGGGAAACAAAGGCTTGAAAGGTTTTGAGATTACTTGTAATTACTCCCTCATTAACAACTAATGTTTATTTTCCACCCTAATAAATTAGTTTCTAGCATCTAGGATCTCATAAGCTAAATGTAAAACGTAAACTTTTAGTACGAAACAAAAGAATTCCAGGTGGGTTAAGCACACATTATAATAGCAGAAGAAACTTTCATTGAGCAAATTTCTTCAGTGCTACAATTCCCTATAATCTAATTTGTCAGAGTAGTTTTAATATTCCATCTAAAAACACTCAAGATGATTAATAACGTAGCTACAATATATTGACAAATCCTATAAATCAGGTCACTTTAGTATCTACCAGTTTCTGATGTCCTTAGACTATTTAATTGCCAAATTTAAAAACTGTATGCCAAATTTTGGTTTCTAGAAATTTTGGTTTTCAGAAAGATTTTTTAACTATATCTAAGGCAGAGCCTTTTAATCAAGGGACCATAGATGAATGAGAATTTCTTTTATCTCTGGGAATTTGTCTTGAGAGAGAACTACTTCTCAAAAATCGTATTTTGGGCTGGACACAGTGGCTCATGCCTGTAATCCCAGCACTTTGGGAGGCTGAGGTGGATGGATCACTTGAGGTCTGAGTTCGAGACCTGCCTGGCCAACATGCTGAAACCCCATCTCTACTAAAAATACAACAATTAGCTGGGCATGGTGGCAAGCACCTGCAGTCCCAGATACTCAAGAGACTTGAGGCAGGAGAATCATCTGAACTTGGGAGGTGGAGGTTGCAGTGAGCCGAGATCATGCCACTGCACTCCAACCTGGGCAACAGAGTGAGACTCCATCTCAAAAATAAATACATAAATAAAAAAAGAAAAAATCATATTTTGAAAGCAACTTACCACCTCCTAAAATGTTAAGAACCACTGGTTTCAGGGAATTTAAATAAAACCTCAAATCATACCAGTTAAAAATGGAAAGCATATTGTCTACTTGGCTCAATTTCCACTGTTACTTTCCATGAGCATATAAATATATTCTAATGAAAACACTTTCTTTACTTTTAAAAATTCAAAGACCAAGGGGTCTTTTTCAGACTGTTCAACTACATCTGATTAAAAAATCAGCTAATGAGAATTTTTCATTATCAGCTTATCAACTTATCAGCTAATGAGAATATGTAAAACCTTTACATTTCATATACAGCATTATTAATTTTACACCAACTATGGAACAAAATTTCAGATAAACTTGTGTACAGTTCTATTAAAAAATAATTTACCACTTAGGATTTTTCTAGTTCTGTAAGCTCTAATGTGCTGAAAGATCTTAAAACCATTATCAGCTTTCACTAATCCTAGGACACCGCTCCATTTTATTTGGATGTATAGGTGCTACACAGAATGAATAAATTAATAAATAATGAGGCAGACTATTGCATAAAGTATCCCAAACGACATAGAATGTAATTTTCTTTCTCTCATCTTTTTTCTTTTTTTTTTTTTGAGCCGGAGTTTCTCTCTTGTTGCCCAGGCTGGAGTGCAATGGCGCAATCTCGGCTCACCACAACCTCCGCCTCCTGGGTTCCAGCGATTCTCCTGCCTCAGCCTCCTGAGTAGTTGGGATTACAGGCATGTGCCACCATGCCTGGCTAATTTTGTATTTTTAGTAGAGATGGGGTTTCTCCATGTTAGGCTGGTCTGGAACTCCTGACCTCAGGTGATCCACCCAGCTTGGCCTCCCAAAGTGCTGGGATTACAGGTGTGAGCCACCATGCCTGGCCTCTCTCATCTTTTTATAATAACAGAAAATGTAAAGGTCACTACAGAATATAAAAACTTGCAAAATTAAAAAAAAATCAGCAAATTAATTGGCATTAATACCTAGAATCCATATATAAATGAAGAAAATTGAACAGAGCTCCAGAGACCTGTGGGACACCATCAAGTATAGCAACATACACATAAATGAGAGTCCCAGAAGATGAGAGAAAAAGGGCAGGAAAAATATTTGAATGATGACCAAAAATAAATAAAATATTATGAAAAATATTAGTTTACATAATGAATTCTAATTGTAACTCAATAAACAACAGGTAGAATAAAGTCAAGAAGATCCACACCTAGATACATCATAATCAAATTGACAAAACTTAAAGAGATAACATTTATAGCAGCAAAAGAAAAACGACTTTTCACATACATGATGAGATCCTCAATAAGATTAATGGCTAACTTGTCATCAGAAAACCATGGACGTAAGAAGACAAATGGGATGACATGTTCAAAGTGTTGAAAGAAAAAGACTGTTAGCCAAGAATTCTACATCCAGCAAAACTCTCCTTCAAAAATGAAGAGGAAATTAAGACATTCCTAGATAAACACTGAAAGAATTTGTCATTAATTGCACACCTGTAATCCCAGCACTTTGGGAACCAAGTGGGTGGGCTGCTTGAGCTCAGGTGTTCGAAACCAGCCTGGGCAACATGGCAAAACCCCATCTCTACTAAAAATACAAAAATTAGCAGGTGTAGTGTCACACATCTGTAGTTGCAGCTACTTAGGAGGCTGAGGTGGGAGGATGGCTTGAGCCCAGGAGGCAGAAGTTGCAGTGAGCTGAGATCATGCCACTCCACTACACTCCAGCCTGGGTGACAGAACCAGACCCCATCTCAAAAAAAAAGGAAAGAAAAGAAAAACATAATGTATAAAAATTTATGGATTCAAGCAAAAACTTATACATAGAACTGTTCATAACAGCTCTATTCACAATAGCCAAATGATGGAAATAATTTAAATGTCCATCAACTGGTAAGTGGATAAACAAATGTGGTATATCCATACAATGGAATAATTCATCCATAAAAAGGAATGAAGTATTGATACAGACTACATTTATGAACCTTGAAAACATTATGCTAACTGAAAGAACCCAGAAACAAAAGCCCACATATTACATAATTTCACTTATATGAAGTATCCAAAATAGGCAAATCCAGAGACAGAAAGCAGATTGGTAGTTGTCAGGGGCTGTAAAGAGAGCAGAATGGGGCATGAGTGCTAAATGCCAATGGGGTTTCCATTTGGGGTGATAGAAAAGTTATAGAATTAAAGAGTGGTGATGGGTTGTATAACATGGCGAATGTACTTTGTGCCACTGAATTGTACACTTCAAAATGGTTTAAATGGTAAATATATGTTAAGTGTATTTTATTACAATGAAAAAACATTGAAAAACAGTACTTGCATGAAAGAAGATAATGTTAATAAAACCATAAAAGTCAAATATTTTACACAGACACTCAGAATCTAAATGAGAAAACCATGATTTCTGCAGAATAGCATAAATATAAAAACTGCCAATACGTAATTATGTTCCATACCTGTATGTGAGGCCAAGAGGCCTCAAGCGTGGGTTCATCCTCTTCTGGATCAAAATCTGGATTATCACTTGGAGGAAGTGTACGGAAGATGTTAGCACTGATCTGTAAAGAAAAAATAATTTTACGTTCGTTGTTGTATGTGTAATTGAATTGGACAATTCAAAACGAAGTATTTTAAAGATCACTTTCAGAAAAAAGTTATAGCTGTAAGCTTAGTTCAAAATCTGTAAACCTCTTCAAGATACAAAGAAAGCAGGTGTTTGTTTCTCTCTTTTCTCTATCCAATAACTCTGACTTCCTCAGACCTAAGCTCCTGAAGATTACAGATAACCTCTGGATTCATCTTCTTTAAATTATAAATTGTTCTTTCCGAATTTTGCTTAAAAAGAAAGAGGGGGCCAGGCGAAGTGGCTCACACCTGTAATCCCAGCACTTTGGGAGGCCGAGGGGGGCAGACTGTCTGAGGTCAGGAGTTCAAGACCAGCCTGGGCAACATGGTGAAACCCCCAATCTCTACAAAAACACAAAAATTAGCTAGGCATGGTGGCGCACACTTGTGGTCCTAACTACTGGAGAGGCTGAGGCAGGAGAATCGCTTGAGCCCAGGAGACAGAGGTTGCAGTGAGCCGAGATCATACCACTGCATTCCAGCCTGGGTGACAGAGCCAGACCCTGTCTCCAAAAATAAAAATAAAAATAAAAAAATAAAAAAGAAAGAAGGGAAAGGGAGAATATTGAGGAAGGGAGTACAGGGAATTCGAGGGAAAAAGTTACTAATTCTACTTATCTTTAATTTGATTCATTTCACCTTTCTATAATTCCTCCCATATTCCAACATGGCCATATTCTATACTTGCCTTATAACTCAGAGTTTGGTAAAATCTCTCCATTCTTATACATACATACCACACTAAGGAAGAGGTGAGTGAGGGTAGAATGCCTTCACTGTTAATATAAATGTGTTTATAATACCTTTTGATGATTTAATTTACTGTATTTCATCTACTTTGAGACTTTTAAAAAACATATTAACCACCCTGAAATCAGGATGTGCTTCATTTTAGATCCAGTGAAATAAAGGATTTATAATTTCATGCTTTGCATTATCTTAGTACTAAGGTAAATATATATCCTTTTTCTCTAGCAAAGGATAGACTGTGGTCCTAATCTACAATTTTTTTAAGAATAATGAACAGACTGACAGACTAAGTAGTTTAATAAACATTTAAGGCCCAACTACTAAGGGGTTGATCATTTTGAGACAAACTATTCCAGAGGTAGAGGACAAGACAAGGAATTGCAAGCAAATTCCCAACTATTCTTATGAAGTGGCATCTTTGGTACACAAATTAACTGCTAATAGTCAATTACTGTAACCGTTAAGACTTAATAAGTAATAACCTAAAATTTGATCAGCCAGAACTCAAAGTCAGTACTTGAGGGCAAAGCCAATAAACAGTTTGATGGACATCAATTTCACAAAGAGTAGCAGCAAGCCATCGATACAATTTGAAAAGAAATCTATCTCACAAGAGCGTAGAATTTGTCCTTGAGATCATACTTATTATTGTCAGTAGTAAAAGAAAAAGTTAACCTTGTAGCCACTAATAAAATTAACTGTATATAACAAATATTCAGAAGAGCTTCAAGAGTCTAAATTGGTAAGATGACTCAAGTATTACTTAGATATTAAATTAAGTACTCATAAATTTTTAAGAAACCAACAATATATACCTACTATGTGCCCACAGAAATCAAAATAAAATATTTAAGAAAGCAACAACACACACACACCTTTTTACTTGGGCAAAGAAATTAAATCCCATAATTTATTAGTATATAGCAAATTTGACTCAAATATTTGAGACTTTCAGTATCTGTCAACAATTTTAGAGATTAATTCCCAGGACTTTAAAAATTCCTGAATATAAGCCATTTGAAATCAGTAACAGTAGGAAATACTGCTTTTTCTCCCTGAACTTTTTAAATGATAAAAAAAACTTGAAGAAGTCCATCAATATTTAGTATTTATGTTCTCAAACTATCACTTCCTTTTATTGTCTGTAGGAGTTTAAGCCAATTTCATTTTGATTAATGTTCTCTCTATAGCTAATCTTTAAATTTTTTTGAGGCTGGACATGGTGGCCCATGCATGTAAACCTAGCACTTTGGGAGGCCGAGACAGGAGGACTGCTTGAGGTCAGGAGTTTGAGACCAGCCTGGGCAATAAGCAAGGCTCCACCTCTAAAAAAAAAAAAAAAAATGAAAAAATTAATCGGGCATGGTGGTGTATGCTTGTAGTTCTACCTACTCAGGAGGCTTAGGCAGGAGGACAGCTTGTGCCCAGGAGGTCAAGGCTGTGGTGAGCTATGATTACGCCACTGCACTCCAGCCTGGGAAAAGAGACACTCTCTTTTTTTTTTTTTTTTTTGAGACAAGGTCTCATTCTGTCGCCCAGCCTGGAGTGCAGTGGCACAATCTTGGCCCACTGCAACCTCCGCCTCCCAGGTTCGAGCAATTCTCCGGCCTCAGCCTCCCAAATAGTTGGGATTACAGGCGCCCACCACCACACCTGGCTAATTTTTGTATTTTTAGCAGAGATGGGGTTTCACCATGTTGGCCAGGCTGTTCTCAAACTCCTGACCTCAGGTGATCAACCCGCCTTGGCCTCCCAAAGTGCTGGGGTTACAGGCATGAGCCACTGTGCCCAGCCAACTCTGTCTCCAAAAAAAAAAAATTTTTTTTTGAAGGCTTTTATTCTCTCTAAGGAAAAAAAACAAACCCAACAATCAAAAATTTCCTAATTCCTTTTGAGAGGTCTTATACTACAGATTGATAAAAGGAAACCCAACTACTATAGTAGGGCCAAACTTATATTTCCTACTACACATTTGGTTCTTCCCCAAGAACATATATTAGGCAAGGGGAAAGAAATGAAGGCAACTGTAGGTTATATTTATATTTGCTTTTAGCTTCAATACTCTAAGTTTAAATTATGTACTCAGCGACTCTCTAATTAGTCCAACTGGATTTTTTTACTTTTTTTTTTTTGAGACAAGGTGTTCCTCTGTCAACCCAGGCTGGAATGCAGTGGTGATCATGGCTCACTTCAGTCTTGAACTCCTGGGCTCAAGCGATCCTCTCACCTCAGCCTCCTGAGTAGCTGGGCCTTTACTAAAGGCTCATGCCACCATGCCTAGCTAATATTTTTATTTTTATTTTTAGTACTTTTTGTAGAGATGGGTCCTTGCTATGCTGGCCAGGCTGGTCTTGAACTCTTGGCCTCAAGTGATTCTCCCACCTCAGCCTCCCAAAGTGCTGGGGTTTACAAGCATAAGCGAGCCACTGCACTGGCCTGAATTTTTATATTTTGTTAGTATACAATAAAATAAAATTAAAAAATCACAAATACTAAACAAAATCATACTGTTTGATAGAAAATAAGGTTGAATTATTAATAAACAGCAAGCATCCTAAACAACCTTACTTCAATAAAGTTGGCTGCAGTTTTTTTTCCACATCAGATATTATAACTTCTTAAAGATCCTGACTTTCAATTAAAGCGTTATACCTGACTCCCTTACCCACTGCTTAAATGTGGAGATCCCTAGTCTTTCAATGGTCTTCCCTTTCCCCTTTACAAGTTCTTAGTAATGGCCGGGTGCGGTGGCTCACGCCTATAATCCCAGCATTTTCAGAGGCCGCGGCAGGTCGATCAACGTGTCAGGAGTTCAAGACCAGCCTGGCCAAGATGGTGAAACCCCATCTCTACTGAAGATACAAAAATTGGCTGGGCGTGGTCGTGGGCACCTGTAATCCCAGCTACTCGGGAGGCTGAGGCAGAGAACTGCTTGAAACTGGGAGGCAGAGGTTGCAGTGAGCCAAGATCGCACCACTGCACTCCAGCCTGGGCTACACAGCAAGACTCCGTCTCAAAAATAAATAAATAAAAATAAAAGTTCTCAGTAACTATTCACCTCCATGACATTAATTACCTATCAATCTGTATAATCCCAGGCCTAAACCCTTCTCTTAAGCTCTAGATCTGCACTATCCAATATGGAAGCCACCAGCCACTATGACTCTCAATTCCCAAACTTGTATATGCAATGATGGTATCATTGGAATGGATGGGGTATGAACTATTTTCTAAAATTTGGGGGATGTATTAATTATTGTACATTTATTTAAAATCAGTCTCAATTCATTATTATACCTCAGATCTTAAATTTACATAAATCTGAGGAACATAATTCTAGAGGCTTACCATTTTTACTATATCAGAATACGCTGATTCAACAATTACACCACGATTAGTTGAAACATACTCAACCAGTTCATTCAGTGTTGCTCTTTTAATTTCTTTGCTCTTCAAGTCTGAAACAGAGTCCATGAAATCAAACAGTATACAACACTGCTGCAACTTCTGACAGAAAAGCTCTTGTTGTTCATTTGAAGTGGCATCTATAAATAAAAATAAAGAAAAACTTAGAAATAACCTACTCAGAAGTTACTTTTATATATTTATTAATTTTGTAGAAGCTATTCACATATGTAAAACTTCTTCCAAAAATCTAGTGAGAAATGTGCCCATCTATAACCCCATCATTCAGGGATTTATACTGGACTCTTCTCTCTCCCTCATTACTCACAATCAATCATTAAAAAAATTTTTTTAAAGAAATATGGTCTTGCTACATTGCCCAAGATAGACTCAAACTCCTAGGCTCATGTGATCCTCCTGCCTCAGCCTCCAGAGTAGTGGAGATTATGTGCCACCATATCCAGCTAATCATTAAATGTTACTGATTCGGCGTCTTTAACATATTTGAAATCTATTCTTGTCATTCCCGCTGCCATTTCAGACTCTCACCATGCCTCATCTGGACTACAGCAATGATATGCTAATTGCTCCTCTTATCTGGTCCCATAACCATTACCACTCCTGACTTACCCTCCAAACAACCTCAAAATCTTGCCAAAATGAGAATCGGTGTGTTCAAGTTCCATGTTTTTCAATGATACTCCAATAATTAAATAATAAAGTTCAAACTCCTCTCGGCTGTATACAAAGTACAGCTGTCTACTGTCAAGAGTCATCTCTCAACCCTTTCCAACATGCCTCTTCATTTTGGTTAAACCATACTCTCTGTAGTTCCCTGAAGATTACACAATGTTTCCTCTGTCTGGAATGCCCTTCTTCCCACATTCCCACCCTGGGAACACTACCTACTTACAAAGTTTCAGCGTAAGTCCCTTCTTTTTTTTTAATTTTTATTTTTTTGAGACAAACTCTTGCTCTGTCGCCTGGGCTGGAGTACAGTTTTCAGAAGCTTTCCTTATGGTACTGAAGCTAAATTGGTTGGTTTATCCACTTTTACCCAAATGTGTTTTAGGTGCATATCTCTGTTATAGTATTTACTGTGCTTTACAGCAATTATATTTTACATACTCAGCACCCCTCAACTAAAAGCAGGAACCAACGGCTAGGCACAGTGGCTCACATCTGTAATCCCAGCATTTTGGGAGGCCAAGGCGGGCAGATCACTTGAGGTCATGAGTTCGAGACCAGCCTTGCCAACATGGCAAAACCCCGTCTCTACTAAAAATACAAAAATTATCCGGGCATGGTGGCGCATGCCTGTAATCCCAGCTACTCCAGAGGCTGAGGTAAGAGAATTGCTTGAACCCAGGAGGCTGGGGTTGCAGCGAGCCGAAATCGCACCACTGCATTCCAGCCTGGGCAACAGAGACAACATCTCAATCAATCAATGCAGAAACCAAGTTTTACTTATCTAATTATCTCTGTCTTTCTCTCTCTCTACTTCTCTTTCTCTTTCTAGTATCTAATACAATGCCTGGCATATAATAGGCACTCAAAAAATGGGCCGGTGTGGTGGCTCATGCCTGTAATCCCAGCACTTTGGAAGGCTGAGGCAGGCGGATGACTTGAGGTCAGGAGTTCAAGACCAGCCTAGCCAAATGGTGAAACCCCATCTCTACTAAAAATACAAAAATTAGCCAAACGTGGTGGCGGGCGCCTGTAATCCCAGCTACTGGGAAGGCTGAGGAAGGAGAATCACTGGAACGCAGGAGGTGGGGGTTGCAATGAGCCGAGATAGCGCCACTGCACTCCAGCCTGGGCCACAGAGTGAGACTCAAGTCTCGATTTAAAAAGTTTATTGTTTTATATTCTACTTATTACAAAAATATGGACACACTGTATTGATTTGATTCTAACAAATGTTAAATCCTTTTGTTTCTAACCTTCAAAACCATAAAACTTCACTTCCGAACTTTCATTCTATAAACAAGGAATTCAATTAGTTCAATCACTTAAGTTTACTGAACTTCTGAAAGTAAATTTTAAAAATCATATTCAACTCTGATATTTATCTCATAATATACAAAACTATGCCTCTATTCAAAACCAGTACATACTTTATATAAAGATACAGGCAGAAATCTTCATAAAGATGATAACCTAATCAAGAATGCCTATGCTTCGTAATTACTCCAGGGCAGGAAGCTAGTAAAATTACCTTTCAATTATATTCAAGTTGCTGTCCTTAAAAAAGCTGATTTAGATAAGGTACTGCTGAACCGTAGTAGGTCAGGTATTCTAAGCATGCTCACACAAAGTCACAAGACATAAGGCACATTCTTTTCATTGATCAATTATTATTAAATAATTTTACAATAAAACAAATGTGGATATATTACAAAGAACAGCAAAAGTCACATGATTTTTGAAGTAAAAATATGAAGACTTGAATTTGCTGCAGTTCATTTGTGGCTATGCCAGTAAAATAAGATAGCTCCACACTTACAAAGAACTTGTATTAACATTTCCTGTTCCAGAATCAATAATGACTCTCTGCTTTATGAAGGTTAAAGTCTATAAGCCTAAGATTGGCATTCAGAATCCATGTAATATTGACATATATGACATTTTTTACTACCAATTTGGTAAAGTTTTTGATTCAGGGTCACTTTTTTTTTGAGACGGAGTCTCACTCTACTGCCCAGGCTAGAGTGTGGTGGCGCGATCTTGGCTCACTGCAACCCCTGCCTCCCAGGTTCATGCAATTTTCCTGCCTCAGCCTCCCAAGTAGCTGGGATTACAGGCCTGCACCACCACGCCCAGCTAATTTTTGTATTTTTTTTAATAGAGATGAAGTTTCACCATGTTGGCCAGCCTGGCCTCAAACTCCTGACCTCAAATGATCCGCCTGCCTCGGCCTCCCAAAGTGCTGGGATTACAGGTGTGAGCCACCTCACCCTGATTCAGGATCACCTTTTATGGAACTGTTCTTAAGTGGGAATATTTTTATGTATCCTTAAAAAAAAAAAAAACATTGAATTTGCAACTATTTTTAATACTAAGTAATATGCTAAACAGTTATCTTTATCCCAGAATTAAAATTCATTCTATTGGGGGTGAAAATGAACCACTAGCCAACATACATGCTACACATAACCAGCAGTCTTATGTTTACTACCTTTTTTTAATCCCAAAATGGCCATTAGTCATTCTAAGCAGAATCTGCTTCTTCTCTGTAAAATCAGTTGTATCTTGAATGGCCCTTTTCTTAAATCTTCTGGGGCTTTTTACCCTTAAAGTTAAAATGGTTATGTGCATTTAATTTTCATTAATAAATGATGTCTGCTAATAATTTATTTCAACTAACAAAAAGATGTCTGCTTGATATTGGTACTTAGTTTGAAAATTAGAAGATGGACACCTCTGCTTATGTATGTACTACACACTAAACGAGATACATGTTGACTATGTGGGCTATAAGAATCCTTCTCAATCCATAGTGTACAGGAAATCCCCATAGTTCTCTCAGTTATTCAGTAATATCTTTATACAGTTATCTATTTTCAAAGATATCTATATCCCTAATATATGGCTTTATTTTATAATATATATCTTTATAATTAATATAAATTCCATAATGATGACTTGGTGAAACAGTTGCCATATCTTGAGAGGCTGCGTTCTAAAAGAGTTTTAAGATATATTTTAGCCCTTTTTCCCTAACGCTAATAGTAATACAAACTCACACAAGATCCCACTTCAATTATGTGATCACCTTATACCGCCAGTCCTATTCTCTCCTTCCTCCCACTACCACCTCCTCAATGTGAATGAAACCAGCCCTCTTATTCTCTGAAGGCCGTGTCTTTGTTCAAAGTCTTTTCCCTACCTGAAATACTTCACTAGATTTCCTCCCCTATCTTTCCATATCCTACTTGCCCTTTAAGAACAAACTTAATCTCACATTCTCCACAAAATTTCCCTTAGGTAGGTCAGGATACAATGATCTCTCCCATCTCTCATGATCTATAGTGTTCACAACTTCAATTACGTATTTGAGTACCCATTATCTTTAGGCCTATATTCAACAGATGTTTCTTTCATCAACCACCAAAAGATTTCAGGCTCCTCAAGGGGAAGGATTATTCACTGAGCAGGGTTTCCTTTTTATTTCTTTTTTATCTAGGGTAGGGTATATAAGGAGTTAATAAATATTTATTTGATGCTTGAAAAAACTCTGAATTTGAAGAATAAGATACTGCACTGAAATACAGTCTACTGAACAAGGAGAAGTTCAAAATTGGTGCTGGATATCAACAGCGACATAAATAATGAATTATTACAACATGGCTATGTTTAAGAATTAATCATGCCAGGTGCGGTGGCTCATGCTTGTAATCCCAGCACTTTGGGAGGCCGAGGTGGGTGGATCACAAGGTAAGAAGATCAAGACCATCCTAGCTAACATGGTGAAACCCTGTCTCTACTAAAAGTAACAAAAAATTAGCCGGGCATGGTGGCAGGCACCTGTAGTCCCAGCTACTCAGGAGGCTGAGGCAGAAGAATGGCGTGAACCCGGGAGGCAGAGCTTGCAGTGAGCCCAGATTGTGCCACTGCACTCCAGCCTGGGGGACAGAGCAAGAAGACTCTGTCTCAAAAAAAAAAAAAAAATTAATCATAATGACCATTTTTATCAACAATCTACCTTGATGGTAGAATTAAATGGATTGAGATAACAATCATGAAGATGAGTGCATATATTTCAAGGTGAAATACAAATGGAAAGTATGTTTTTCTAACACTACAGGCTAAGTAGCCTGTGGCCAGCAAAAAAGAAGACACAAAATGACTTTCAGGATTGGAAAATACAGTCATGCGCCACATAACAAAGTTTTGTCAACAACAGACTGCTTATGTGATGGTGGTCCCATATAAACCTATTTTTACTGTACCTTTTCTTGTTTAGACACACATACACTTCCTTTTGCAAACTGCCTACAGTATTCAGAACAGTAACATGCTGTACAGGTTTGTACACAGCCTAGATGTGTAGTAAACTATACCATTTAAGTTTGTGGAAGTATACTCTATGATGTTCGCACAATGACAAATTTGTCTAATGATGAATTTCTCATTACATAGCCCCATCGTTAAGCATAATCGTAGTAGGTTTAAGAACATGTTACACATTTTTTTTTTTTTTGAGATGGAGTCTTGTTCTGTCGCCCAGGCTGGAGTGCAGTGGTACAATCTCTGCTCACTGCAAACTCCGCCTCCCAGGTTCAAGAGATTCTCCTGCCTCAGCCTCCCAAGTAGCTGGGATTACAGGCACTCACCACCACACCCGGCTAATTTTTCTATTTTTAGTAGAGACGGGGTTTCACCATGTTGGTCAGGCTGGTCTCGATCTCCTGACCTCGTGATCCACCCACCTCGGCCTCCCAAAGTGCTGGGATTACAGGCGTGAGCCACCGTGCCCAGCCCCATGTTACACATTTTTTAAAAAAGACTTTCTCTGGGCACCTAACTCCTGGGTCTCCTCTAGAAAGAAATTAATGTTTTTCATAGCTTATCCATTCAGTAATCCATTTCTTAGCCTAAAAGATGCATTTAAATTTGTTTTTGTTTTTTCTCCCCCAGAACTATATCCCAGCATTACATAATGCTTGGGTGGGATAGGTCACATCTGAATTTTCCCAAACATTAGAAGTATTTAGAAGCAGTTAATGTTACAACTCCATTGGCTCTGGGTTAAAACAGAAGTTTCCAATTCTTGATTATTTTTAGGTATTATGATATAGAAAGATCTTTTCCTAATAAACCCTACCCATTAAGTATATAATGTCTATTGAGCAGTCTGCTGTGCTACGTATTAAAATACAGTACTACTGCTAACGTTAGTACTTCATTCCAAAGACAATTCTAAGTGTTTTATATGCACTAATTTCACACAATCCTTTGAAGCGAATTCTGAGAGATGATTTCCTGTCTTCAAAAGATTAGAAGCAAGTTGAGAAGGCCAGATACAGAACACAGAAAGTAATGCTATCAGGCAAAATGGAAAAGGTACAACCACAGTATATATTTACCACATATATACTGACTATTCTCCACACAATCTGGAATCAAAGGTAATTCAAGAGTGCTTACAAGATTAAATATAAACAGAAAAATTAAAAATGAAATGAGGGCTGGGCACAGTGGCTCACGCCTGTAATCCCAGCACTTTGGGAGGCTGAGGCGGGCAGATCACGAGGTCAGGAGATCGAGACCATCCTGGCTAACACGGTGAAACACCGTCTCTACTAAAAACACAAAAAAATTAGCCGGGCATGGTGGCAGGCACCTGCAGTCCCAGCTACTCGGGAGGCTGAGGCAGGAGAATGGTGTGAACCTGGGAGGCGGAGCTTGCAGTGAGCCCAGATCCCACTACTGCACTCCAGCCTGGGCGACAGAGCGAGACTCCATCTCAAAAGAATGAAATAAATAAATAAATAAATAAATAAATAAATAAATAAAATGAGAATTAATTAAATGCAAGAAAGCTTTACAAGATATTTCACTGCTATATTTAAGGGCTTTTGTTTTTACTAAGTTTCTTGGCAGCTAAGGTAAAACAGTTGTGAAGAGTAGGCCATACTGTAAACGGTTAAATGAGAGAAGCGAAGCTGCTGTCATGTACTGCTGGCTGGCCTACTTGTAGGTTCAAGACATGCAACATTTTTATATAGGTCAAAAACATTTTTATAGTAGTTATCCTGTAACAAAAGATGGTAATCATGGTTTTCATTATTTAAAAAATTATGAAATATTTTGCATTTGTAGATGTAATTAATATGTCCCAACTCTGGTACATTTGTGAAAGAGTAACACTGAATTTTCTCGTAAGAAAAAAGAGCAGAAAATATAAATAGGTTGAAAAAAGATCAGCCTGTCTTCTTGCTATATTTTATAAACATGAGTAACAATCTGTAAGAAGCTCTCCCTCTCCCTCCTCTCCCTCTCCCTCCTCTCCCTCTCCCTCTCCCTCCTCTCCCTCTCCCTCTCCCTCTCCCCACAGTCTCCCTCTCCCCACGGTCTCCCTCTCCCTCTCTTTCCACGGTCTCCCCCTGATGCTGAGCCAAAGCTGGACTGTACTGCTGCCATCTCGGCTCACTGCAACCTCCCTGCCTGATTCTCCTGCCTCAGCCTGCCGAGTGCCTGCGATTGCAGGCGCGCGCCGCCACGCCTGACTGGTTTTCGTATTTTTTTGGTGGAGACGGGGTTTCGCTGTGTTGGCCGGGCTGGTCTCCAGCTCCTAACCGCGAGTGATCCGCCAGCCTGGGCCTCCCGAGGTGCCGGGATGGCAGACGGAGTCGCGTTCACTCAGTGCTCAATGGTGCCCAGGCTGGAGTGCAGTGGCATGATCTCGGCTCGCTACAACCTCCACCTCCCAGCTGCCTGCCTTGGCCCCGCAAAGTGCCGAGATTGCAGCCTCTGCCCGGCGGCCACCCCGTCTGGGAAGTGAGGAGCGTCTCTGCCTGGCCGCCCATCGTCTGGGATGTGAGGAGCCTCTCTGCCTGGCTGCCCAGTCTGGAAAGTGAGGAGTGTCTCTGCCCGGCCGCCATCCCATCTAGGAAGTGAGGAGCATCTCTGCCAGGCCGCCCATCGTCTGAGATGTGGGGAGCACCTCTGCCCTGCCACCCTGTCTGGGATGTGAGGAGCGTCTCTGCCCGGCCGCCCCGTCTGAGAAGTGAGGAGACCCTCTGCCTGGCAACCGCCCCGTCTGAGAAGTGAGGAGCCCCTCCGCCCGGCAGCCACACCGTCTGAGAAGTGAGGAGCCCCTCCGCCCGGCAGCCACTCCGTCTGGGAAGTGAGGAGCGTCTCCGCCTGGCAGCCACCCCGTCTGGGAGGGAGGTGGGGGTCAGCCCCCCGCCCGGCCAGCCGCCCCGTCCGGAAGGGAGGTGGGGGGGTCAGCCCCTCGCCCGGCCAGCCGCCCCGTCCGGGAGGTGAGGGGCGCCTCTGCCCGGCCGCCCCTACTGGGAAGTGAGGAGCCCCTCTGCCCGGCCAGCCGCCCCGTCTGGGAAGGATGTGGGGGGGTCAGCCCCCCGCCTGGCCAGCCGCCCCATCCAGGAGGTGAGGGGCGCCTCTGCCGGCCGCCCCTACTGGGAAGAGAGGAGCCCCTCTGCCCGGCCAGCCGCCCCGTCCGGGAGGGAGGCGGGGGGGTCAGCCCCCCGCCCGGCCAGCCGCCCCGTCCGGGAGGTGAGGGGCGCCTCTACCTGGCCGCCCCTATTGGGAAGTGAGGAGCCCCTCTGCCCGGCCAGCCGCCCCGTCCGGGAGGGAGGCGGGGGGGTCAGCCCCCCGCCCGGCCAGCCGCCCCGTCCGGGAGGTGAGGGGCGCCTCTACCTGGCCGCCCCTACTGGGAAGTGAGGAGCCCCTCTGCCCGGCCAGCCGCCCCGTCCAGGAGGGAGGTGGGGGGGTCAGCCCCCCGCCCGGCCAGCCGCACCATCCGGGAGGTGAGGGGCGCCTCTGCCCGGCCGCCCCTACTGGGAAGAGAGGAGCCCCTCTGCCCGGCCAGCCGCCCCATCCGGGAGGGAGGTGGGGGGGTCAGCCCCCCGCCCGGCCAGCCGCCCCATCCGGGAGGGAGGCGGGGAGGGAGGCAGGGAGGTCAGCCCCCCGCCCGGCCAGCTGCCCCGTCCGGGAGGGAGGCGGGGGGGTCAGCCCCCCGCCCGGACAGCCGCCCCGTCTGGGAGGTGAGGGGCGCCTCTGCCCGGCCGCCCCTACTGGGAAGTGAGGAGCCCCTCTGTCCAGCCACCACCCCGTCTGGGAGGTGTACTCAACAGCTCATTGAGAACGGGCCATGATGACAATGGCGGTTTTGTGGAATAGAAAGGGGGGAAAGGTGGGGAAAAGATTGAGAAATCGGATGGTTGCCATGTCTGTGTAGAAAGAGGTAGACATGGGAGACTTTTGATTTTGTTCTGTACTAAGAAACATTCTTCTGCCTTGGGATCCCGTTGATCTGTGACCTTACCCCCAACCCTGTGCTCTCTGAAACATGTGCTGTGTCCACTCAGGGTTGAATGGATTAAGGGTGGTGCAAGATGTGATTTGTTAAACAGATGCTTGAAGGCAGCATGCTCGTTAAGAGTCATCACCACTCCCTAATCTCAAGTACCCAGGGACACAAACACTGCGGAAGGCCGCAGGGTCCTCTGCCTAGGAAAACCAGAGACCTTTGTTCACTTATCTGCTGACCTTCCCTCCACTATTGTCCTGTGACCCTGCCAAATCCCCCTCTGCGAGAAACACCCAAGAATGATCAATAAAAAAAAAAAAAAAAAAAAACAATCTGTAAGAAAAAGAACACATAGGCTGGGCACAGTGGCTCATGCCTGTAATCCCAGCACTTTGGAAGGCTGAGACGGGCGGATCACCTGAGGTCAGGAATTTGAGACCAGCCTGGCCAACATGGTGAAACCCCACCTCTACTAAAAATACAAAAAAATTAGCCGGGTGTAGTGGCGCACACCTGTAATCCCAGCTACTCGGGAGACTGAGACAGGAGAATCGCTTGAACCCGGGAGGCAGAGGGTGCAGTGAGCCGAGATCGCGCCATTGCACTCCAGCCTGGGCAACAAGAGCAAAACTCCGTCTCAAAAAAAAAAAAAAAAAAAGAAAAGAAAACAAAAAGAACACATAATAAATCTGTTAAATGTAAAAAGCACAGACAATATCTGCACTGGCCACTTTATTCTTCAGCTTCTCCGTTTTAAGAATTCTTGCAAATGAAGTCTGTCATAATGATGTTTTAGTCTGGCAATTGGGCTGATGTTGATTATCCATTTGCCATTCTCACTACGGATGATAACGTCCATTCTGATTCCTACGGTGACAACTTGCTCACCTGGCATTCTCCCTGCAAGAGATGCTGATATTTTCTATCAGAATTTCACTTAAAGGTTTAAAAATGAAAACATCTTTAGAAACAAACAAGTTCACAGGAAAAATTCACAACACCTTATAGCACTGCATCATCAGCAACTAGAGTTGTGGCTGACAAGGTACCTTTTGGATCATGCCCTGAGTACTACAACACAGTAGTTTGCTCAGTCACTCTGAATTTAATTATTACAAGAGGTCCAAGTTTTTGTTGGGGCAATTTTAACCAGGTTTTCTTGAACTGATGACATATATCTGTTTCAAATGGATGCTGATTTCTTCCAAAATGTATAAATAAATGAGTAAATAAGAGATGAGTATTTAAGGTCCTAGTGACCTCTATTTAAATGAAGAGAATGTCCTACACATAAATTTATAAGTATACAGTTGATCTGCATTATCCATGGGGACAAGTTCCTGGACTCCCCCAGATACAAAAATCTGAGGATGCTCAAGTCCCTTATGTAAAATGGTCTAGTATTTGCATTAACCTATGCATAGCCTCCTGTATACTTTAAATCATGTCTATATTACTTATACCTAATACAATGTAAATGCTATGTAAACAGTTGTTATATTATTTAAGGAATAATGACCTGAAAAAAAAGTCTCTACATAGTCTGTATAGATTCTTCCTCCCTTCCCTGGAGTATTTTTGATCCAAGGTTGGTTGAATCCACAGATGTGGAACCCACAGATATGGAGGGCCAACTGTATTTTGATCTTCCCAAGTATTAACCAAGGAGCAATTCAGACTACTATCTACTATCATGGTATACCATATTTAACAATTTCAAATGCCTTAAGTCTTTTTGTTGCCTCAAGGAAATTTGACTATGCACTTAATATATGTAATAACCTGCAGTATCAACTTGTAGTCATCTCTTCAGCATCAGAGCTAAGGATTTACTAAAAGCATTCTTCCAAAAATAAAAAATAAAAAAATTTAAAAGCAGCATTCTTCTAGAAAATATCACTAAATCCACAATATAAAAAGCTCTGCATGAATATTATGAAAGGTACAACAAACTGCACAATCTAGGAATTACCTTAAAAAAAAAACAGATATGCCTTGCTTTGCTAAATACATAATTAATTTAAATTTGACTAAAAGATGTGTTTTTAAAGCACATTTTAAACTGTACTTCAATTTATTATGACTGCCACTTGATCTCACTAAAGATAATTCTCAACACTGTAAAAATCCCTGCATGGCC
Organism: Homo sapiens; assembly: GCF_000001405.40. Classification (NCBI taxonomy): domain Eukaryota; kingdom Metazoa; phylum Chordata; class Mammalia; order Primates; family Hominidae; genus Homo; species Homo sapiens. The sequence goes on along the minus strand of NC_000001.11, from coordinate 212,318,136 downwards.
TCAAGCCAAGGGCCAAGGGTGACTCAAGATAACTCTAGGGAAAGGCACAATTTCATCTTTGGAGGATTATTAACATACCTTTTAAAACTCACAAAAGCCCCGCTAGGTTTTTCCCAAATTCTTACGTCTTTTTCAATACTCAACTTGAAAATATATTTGGCTCACACTTTTTTTTTTAATTTTTTTTTTGAGATTGAGTCTCAGCTCACTGCAACCTCTGCCTCCCAGGTTCAAGCGATTCTCCTGCCTCAGCCTCCCAAGTAGCTGGGACTACAGGCGCCCACCACCACACTCAGCTAATTTTTGTATTTTTAGTAGAGACGAGGTTTCACCATCTTGGCCAGACTGGTCTCGAACTCCTGACTTTGTGATCCGCCTGCCTCGGCCTCCTAAAATGCTGGGATTACAGGCGTAAGCCACTGAACCTGGCCCTGGCTCACACTTTTAAGAAATACTGCTCTAGTATACTGTTTTTCAAAGTGTAGGTTGCACGCCATTGGTGGGCAGTAAGATCAAGTTAGTGGGTCACAATCAAGAGTTTAAAAAAAAAAAATCAGAGTGTATTGCACGTAAGGATATTATGTCATGGAAGTATGTAAGTTATGAAGTAAAATGTGTTTCTCACTATAGTCTGCAGTGAAAACGAGTTTGAAAACCACTGCTTTACAGTATGTGAAGTACTTCAGGATCCCACACTACACAGCATGCCCAAGATCATAAAGCAAATTTGTACTGAAGCTGGGTATGAGAATACTGTTTTTGAAATATCAAATGTTCCTTTAAAAGCTGTATTCTAAATCGTTACCCATTAGAGATTCACAGTACATATCAGTTAAAAATGGCAATTTTGTTTTTCTCCCCTTCCCTCTAAAATGAGAGTAGACCCCCCACCAAAAAAAAGAGATAAAAACCCACAATAACAGAGAACAGAAAAATAGGCCCATAGGCAAGAGACTTCAACAAATTTCAGCGAAAACTCAAAGTAGGTAGAGAAGTGGTAACTGGCAAAACTAAGAGGAAGTCAAGTCCTAGAATAAAAAGGGGGAATACAGGCAAGGGTCCTACAGAACTTCAGATTAGTTCAAGATTAAGAAATATCTAGTGAAACAGTGGAAAGGATTAAGACATGAACTGAAATGGGGGATTAAATAAAAGTCTGGACTTGCTGAAGAGTCTACCATCCCACTCCAAAAGACAGTCAAGCATTCACGCTTCAGACAAAAGAAAATTAGAAGGTTCTTCCCTAAAGAAACTGAACAGTGCCAGAGGAGGTTCCTACATTCCAGCATGTAACTAGATCCCTAACCAATTACTCTAAACAAAACCAGATAATCAATAAGCCCCAACCAACTCTTACAGTAATTTTTTGTTTATCCATACATATTAATGGAAAATAAAGGATCGCCAGAGACTGCAACATGACATAAAACCAAATACAGAGAAATACATGATCCCAAAGGGATAATTTAGCACATTACTGAAAATTCAGATGCCCAGGAGAGAAGAATAAAAGCTTTCAGATTAAAAAAAAAAAAAAAAAAAAAAAAAAGTCACCCACAAAGGTTAAATATCCATGGAATTTCTTATCAGCAGAAGTCATGCCAGAAGATAATGGGGCTATCCTATTAGAATTCTAATGCCAGTCTAGAACTCTGTAACTAGTCAACTATCAATTAAGTACAGAGGTTCAGGAAGGGCATTTTTAGACATGTTCTGGATTAGGCTTTGGCTTAAGGAAATGTTATGGCTGTTTGATCTTCTATTCAGACCACTCAAACTTTCTCCAAATCAACAATAAGGCTGTTTTGCTTTCCTATCATTCATGCGGTCACTGGAGTAGCACTTTTAATGTCCTTCAAGAGCTCTTCCTTTGCATTCACAACTTGGCTGTTTGGTACAAGAGGCCTAGCTTTTGGCCAATCACAGCTTTCAACATGCCTTCCTCACTAAGCTTAATCATTTCTAGCTTCTGATTTAAAGTGAGGTGTGAGACTCTTCCTTTCACTTCAACACTTAGCAGCCATTGCAGAGGTATTTAATTGGCCTAATCTCAATTTTGTTGTGTCTCAGGGAATAGGGAGGCCCAAGGAGAGGAAGAAAGACCAGGAAATGGCCAGTTGGTGGAGCCATCAGAACACAAACAACACCTACTGATTAAGTGTGACATCTTATATGGCTATGGTTCATGATGCCCCAAAACAATTACAATAGTAACATTAAAGATCACTAATTGGAGGCGATCATAACAGATATATATTGAGAGAATCTCCAAAATGTGACACAGAGACACAAAGCGAGCACATGCTATTGGAAAAATGGGACCAACAGACTTGCTCAATGCAGGTTTGCCAAAAACCTTCCATTTGTTTTAAAAAAATAAAACACACAATATCTGGGAAATGCAATACAGTGAAGCACAATACAATGAGATGTACTTGTATGTATACTTCATATTTACATAAAATTAAAATATCAGAGAAATAATAAAATCTACATAGTTGAGTATATAGCCTGGCTTATTTCAATGACTCATTCAATATTAGCAAACTTTGTGAGAATTTTTCGAAGTAAATTAGAATCTTTAGGAAAATGTTGCAAAGAAGTTTTACATTATGTTCTTTAATGTCGATTTATGAAACCTACTTAGGAAGACTGTACAACTAAATTAAGAGGTCTTTAAGACAAGTTTGGGTGTTATAACTCTGTGTAATATATATCTGACTACAGAAATGTCATGGAAAATGAAACCTCATTCTCAACCACACAGGGATGTTAGTACACTCTCAATAGACAGTAAGTCCAGTTTCCCAAGAAGCATAGTGTTCATGATGAATTTTCAATGTCTGAGTCTATTCCTCTGCCTTACAAACTCAGGTATGTTTTTAAAAATCATACATAATACAAATACAAATTCTCCAAGCTCATAAGACAGTAATAAATACTAATTTATTAATTCAGGATGAGAAACTATTCCCCATATACTATATTAGAATATTCTGATTATGTGTTCCCATAGGAAAAGTTATAAAACAAGCCAAATCATAACATAAGCATAATGATGCCTGGGGTATTCATTTTCTATTCTTAGTAACAAATTATCCCAAAATTCTGTGGCTTAAAACAATTATTAGGCTGGGCGTGGTGGCTTATGCCTGTAATCCCAACACTTTGGGAGGCTGAGGCAGGAGAACTGCTTGAGCCCAGGAGTTGAAGACCAACTTGGGCAACACAGCAAGAACTTGTCTCTACGAAAAATTTAAAATTTAGCTACACTTGGCTGGGCACAGTGGCTCATGCCTGTAATCCCAACACTTCGGGAGGCTGAGGTGGGCGGATCACTTCAAGTCAGGAGTTGAGACCAACCTGGCCAATATGGTGAAACCTCATCTCTACTAAAATACAAAAAAAAAAATTAGCCAGGCATGGTGGCACGTGCCTGTAGTCCCAGCTACTCAGGAGACTGAGGCAGGATAATCGCTTGAACCCGGGAAGTGGAGTTTGCAGTGAGCTGAGACTTGAGCCACTGCACTTCACCCTGGGCATCACAGCGAGACACCATCTCAAAAAAAAAAAAAAAAATAGGCTTGGTGGCACACACCTGTAGTTCCAGCTACTTGGAGGCTGAAGTGGGAGGACTGCTTGAGGCCAGAGGGTTGAGGCTGCAATAAGCTGTGATCATGCACTCCAGCCTGGACAACAGTACTGGAGTTTAAGATGGGTTTTTTAAGAACCCATCTTAAAAAAACAACAACAACAAAAAAAAACTACCTTTCTCAATTTCTTTGTGTCAGGGATTCAGAAAGGATAGAACAGGGATAGCTTATCTCTGCTCCATGATGTCTAAGGCCTCAGCTAAAGGACTAGAAAACTAGAGGATGGAATTCTGAGAAGGCTAAATAACTCTTATGTCTGGTAGTTGCTGGCTTTTGGCTGACAGACTAGCTGGGGCTAGTACCAGAACCTCCAACATATAGCCTCTCCATGCGGTCTGAGCTCCCTCATAATATGGTAACTGTGTTCCAAGGGCAATGAATCTGAGAAGTCTAACGAAAAACAAGCAAAGCTCTTATGAATATAATTATAAAACATTCTTGAAATGTATGAAAGAGATAAATAAATGGAGATATATTATATTCATGGATGAGAAGAATCAATGTTTTCCCCCAATGAATCTATACAAGGAATACAATTCAGATTAAATTCTCAATAGGGTATTTTGGTGGAACCATTAGAGTTGTTCTTAAAAATGCGTCTGGAAAAATAAAGTGCCAAGAATAGCCAAGATGATTTTTAACATGAAGAAGGGAAGAGTCATCTTACCACATTTAGTAATTAAAACCACATGGTGTTGTGCAGGAATTCACAGACCACTGAGGAAAAAAAAATAAGGCACTTAGAAACATGCCAGTGTACACATACAAAAGGTTAGTATATAATACGGTTGGTGTTTTTTTTTTTAAAGTCAGTAGGAAATATTTAAAGTTCAATAAATTATTCCAGCTACTCATATGAAAAAAATTAAAATTAGATCCTTCCTTCACACACAAAAATTAGTTCCGAAAGAACTAAAAAATTAAATGTGGACAAGAAATTGGTATACAGAATGTACAAAAGAACACCTACAAATCATTAAGAAAAAAACCCAAAATCTATAGGAAAAAAAGGTCACATGAAACATAAATGACCGATAAGTATATGAAAAGATATTCAACCACACTGGTAACCAAAAAAATGTAAGTATGTATAAACAGTATACACGAATTTATACATGAAATGTCATACATCACTTTATACCTATTGGGTAAGAATGACAAAAAGTGTGGGCAAGACTTCTTCCAGAAGACTATCCTTTCCACTGTAAACTACTAAAAACTGAACAAAATATATAAAACAATTGTTTTCAGATGCTAGAAAACAGGCAGTACAGGACTGTGATCGCTGTGGGAAGGAAAACAAAGCCCCACAATCGCACCAGCTCCCTATCTGCTAGGGCTCTCCAGAGAGAGAAAGCACAGGAAAAAGAAACCCTAAAAGAACAACAGATTTAATGAGCAAAATAAAGACTAGAGATAGGGCTACTGAGGTGGCTAGGATTTGCATAGGAAAGTACTAAACAGAAGGCAACTATACAGAGAAGGAACTTTCTATTTTCTCTATTTATGTTGAAGTGATAATTTTTATTTTATTCTATTTATGTAACAAATCATTTTTTTAATGTAAAACCAGCCTTGCATTCCTGGCATAAATCCCACATTATCAAAATATCTCATTCTATTTATATATTTCAAATTCAATTTGTTAATATTTTGTATACAACTTTAAAAAAATCTATGTTCATAAGGGATATTGGTCTATAATTTTCTTGTAATTTCCCTGTTGGGGTTTTAAATTAGGAATCAGTCAAAGAGATACATAACTATTCAGATTTTTGTTTCTTCTTGTGTCAGTTTCAGAAAGCTGTTTATTTCAAGGAATTCTCCCATCTCCTCTTAGGTTTTCAGATTTATTGGCATGATTATGTACCTGAAAGCTATGAAATCCTAAATAAGGCTAAGATACTAATTATTACTACAAAAAAAGCTAAAATTCTAGTCCAGAGGGAGATCAACTTCTGACAAGACAAGGTGAGAAGTTCCACAGGCCTACTCACCAGGGAAACTGATAGAAGTTATGTTTAAAACAGCCATTTTTATAGCCTCTGAAATGGTCCTAAGGGCAAACAGCAAAAAAATATCTATTCAGGAATATCTATGAAAATTCAGTTAGAATACCAAGAGCTAGTGGTACAGTCATGCATCACTTAAAATGACAGAAATACATTCTGAGAATGCATCCTCAGGCAGTTTCATCATTGTGTGAATATCAGAATGTTTTACACAAACTTAGATGGCACAGCCTACTACACGCCTAGGCTATATGGTAGAGCCTACTGCTCCTAGGCTACAAAACTGTCAGCATGCTACTATACTAAATACTATAGGCAACTGTAAGTGTATCCAAATATAGAAAGGTGCAATAAAAAATATGGTATAAAAGATTTAAAAATGGCACATCTGTCTAGGACACTTAACATGAATAGAGCTTACAAGACTGGAAGTTGCTCTGGATGAGTAAGTGGTGAGTGAATGTGAAGGCCTAGGACATTACTGTACACTACTATAGACTTTATAAACGGTATATTTAGGCTACCCTAAATTTATTTAAAACATTTTCTTTCTCCAATAATGACCTTAGCTTACTGTAACTTTATATAAACTTTAAAATTTTAACTTTTTTACTCTTTTGCAATAACATAGCTTAAAACACACACTGTACAGCTGTATAAAAATATTTTTTCTATCAGTAGTCTATAAGCTTTTTTCTATTTTTCAGACTTTTTAACTTTTTAAACTTTTTTGTTAAAAACTAAGACACAAACACAGATGGCTTAGGCCTACCCAGGGTCAGGATCATCTACGTCACTGTCTCATCTCCACATCTTCTAGAATACCTCCTGAAGGGCCTGCCTGAGGCTGCTTTACAGCTAACTTTTTTTTTTGTAATAAGTAGAAGGAGCACACTCTAAAATAATGATAAAAATAGTATAATAAATACATAAGCCAGTAACATTTATTATCAAGTATTATGTATTGTACATAATTGTATATGCTATATATACTTTTTTTTTTTTTGAGACGGAGTCTTGCTCTGTCGCCCAGGCTGGAGTGCAGTGGCACGATCATGGCTCACTGCCTCCGCCTCCCGGGTTCATGCCATTCTTCTGCCTCAGCCTCCGGGAGCAGCTGGGACTACAGGCGCCTGCCACCACACCCGACTAATTTTTCGTATTTTTAGTAGAGACGGGGTTTCACCGTGTTAGCCAGGATGGTCTCGATCTCCCGACCTCGTGATCCGCCTGCCTCAGCCTCCCGAAGTGCTGGGATAGGCTTGAGCCACCATGCCTGGCAGCTATATATACTTTTATATGATAGTGCAGCTGGTTTTTTTACACTGGCATCACCATAAACATGTGAGTCATGCCTTGTTCTATGAACTAAAGCTACATCACTAGGGGACAGGAATTTTTCAGCTCCACTGTAATATTTTGGGACCACCATCCTATATACCACGTCATGGACCAAAACATCGTTATGCAGCACATGACTGTATTTTAAGCAAGAGAGCTCCTTCCCCCTTGGCTCAGCTATGTAGAAACCCTACTTCAAAGAGACGCAGAGGAGAACACAGGGCTCTTCCTCTACTTCTAGCTCCCAGACATCTTTAGGTAAGGAGTAGGACCTATCAGCATTTCTCATCCTTTCCACAGCAACTTATTGTTGCTGAGGATAAGTTCTAGACAAGTGCAACTGAAAGGCAGGCCTCCTTTCTTCTGCCCAACCTCCACGCATGGGGCAGAGGCTCTACCTTTTGTGCAACACTGCTAAAAAAATAACTGGGGCCTCAATCACCTTTGTTCTGGCCTATAAAGTTGTGATTCCACACTGGAAGAGGCAAGCCAAAAAGAAGACCTCGGGCTGCTGCTCCCACTTCCCCAAACTGCTCAGCTTCTAAAGCAGGGTTTCAGAAAGAAGCATACAATTGTCCCCACTCCCAGCTCTGAGCCCCGACTCCAGAGATTTTGTGGGGGATGGGGGAGAAGTAGGCCATAAAACAGTTAGCTCTTCATCTTTTCCCAAAACAACTGACTTCTTTACAACAGGGCATTAAAAAAAATGTTCAAGCCTAAGGGTACTCTTAAAAACAGTGGAGGTTTTGGTGAAAGATAATGGGGAGATCTGTAAATTCAATGAGGATACAGACTAAACTGTAGGCTAGTTATTTTTCAGGAGAGACAAAAAAAAAAACCCAGCAGTGTGGAGCCCTCCTGATGTTAGAACAAATATCACATACTGACCTTGGGAACTATTCCTTCAAAGGAGCCTGGATTTGATTGGATTAGTCTGTAGAACAATGTGTGCCCCAAAGCATTATTGAAAACAATTGAGCAATCAGCTGAAAATCAATGGAACTTAACAGCTGGGAGTATGGTCAGGAAAAGACAAAGAGAACCCTGCCAAAACCACTGTCATCCCAAGGTGCCTGGGCATATCCAAAGCTGCACCTCTCTGAGGAACAAGATCAGAGGCTTTACAAAGTATGGGGGAAAACTACACCCAGTCACTAAACAAACAAGTGACAATAACAAGGTTGGTACCAAGAGTTGCTACAATATATTATTTAAAACAGCCGAGTCCAACCCTTAGGATGTGAGGACTTTTTTGCTTATCTGTGGTGGTGGGTATCACAAAAATTATGCATGAACTTTTTTTTTTCTTTTAGCTCGTCAGCTATCGTTAGTGTTAGTGTATTTTATGTGTGGCCCAAGACAATTCTTCCAATGTGGCCCAGGGAAGCCAAAAGGTTGGATACCTGTTATTTTAAATGTCCAGTTAATAACAAAACGCACAAAGAAACAGGAAAAATATAACCCATGTGCCAGAAAAAAAGAAGGTTGTAGAACCTGCCTGTGAGAGTGACCGTATGTTGGATTTAACAGAATATATGACTTTAAAGTAGTCATTATATATGTTCAAAGAACTAAACTATGATTAAAGAAGTAAAGAAGGGCTTTTCACAAGATGGCGCCGAAAGCGAAGAAGGAAGCTCCTGCCCCTTCTAAAGCCGAAGACAAAGCGAAGGCTTTAAAGGCCAAAAAGGCAATGTTGAAAGGTGTCCACAGCCACAAAAAAAAGAAGATCCGCACGTCACCCACCTTCCGGCGGCCCAAGACACTGCGACTCCGGAGGCAGCCCAAATATCCTCGGAAGAGCGCCCCCAGGAGAAACAAACTTGACCACTATGCTATCATCAAGTTTCCGCTGACCACTGAGTCTGCCATGAAGAAGATAGAAGACAACAATACACTTGTGTTCATTGTGGATGTTAAAGCCAACAAGCACCAGATTAAACAGGCTGTGAAGAAGCTCTATGACACCAATGTGGCCAAGGTCAACACCCTGATTCGGCCTGATGGAGAGAAGAAGGCATATGTTTGACTGGCTCCTGATTACAATGCTTTGGATGTTGCCAACAAAATCGAGATCATCTAAACTGAGTCTAGCTGGCTAAATATATATATATATCTTTTCACCATAAAAAAAGAAGAAAGGTATGATGACAATGTTACATCAAACAGAGAATATCATAAAGAGATAGAATTTACAAAAAGAAAAAAGGAATAAAATGAAAATCCTGGAGTTGAAAAACATAATAGCAAAATAAACTAAAGGGACCCATGAGGAGACGAGAACTGGCATTAGAAAGAATTGGGGAACTTGAAAATACATCAACAGAAATTATGCAATCTGAAGAACAGAAAGAAAAAAGAATGAAGAAAAATAAACAGAACTTCAGAGACCTATAGGACACCATTAAGTGTACCAACACACAGCCAGGTGCGGTGGCTCAGGCCTGTAATCCCAGCACTTTGGGAGGCCGAGGCGGGAGGATCACCTGAGGTCAGGAGTTTGAGACCAGCCTAGCCAGCATAGCAAAACTCTGTCTCTACTAAAAATACAAAAATTAGCCGGGCATGGTGGCAGGTGCCTGTAGTCCCAACTACTCAAGAGGGTGAGGCAGGAGAATCACTTGAACCTGAGAGGCACAGGTTGCAGTGAGCCAAGATCATGCCACTATACTCCAGCCTGGGCAACAGAGCAAGACTCCATCTCAAAAAAAAAAAAAAAAGTGTACCAACATAATGTATTGAGTAACATAAACCTAACACAAGAAACTCCAAGAAGGATAAACTCAACAAGATCCACAAATAAACATCACAGTAAAAATGATGAAAGTCAAAGACAAGGAGAAAACCTTGAAAGCACCAAGAGAAAAACAACTAGTTACTTTCAAGGGCTAAGATAACAATTGACTTCTTAGCAAAAACAACTGAGGCCAGAAAACAGTGGAATAACATATTCAAAGTGCTCAAAGAAAAACAAAAACTTGTCACCAAAAATCCTATATCCAATAAAACGATCTTTCAAAAATGAAGGCTTGGGAGCTGAGGCAGGTGGACTCAGGAGTTCAAGATCAGCCTGGGCAACAGTTGAGAACCTGTCTCTACAAAAAAATACAAAAATTAGCCAGGTGTGGTGGCAGATATTCTGAGGCAAGAAGATAACTTCTTGGAGGCTGAGGCAAGAAGATAACTTGAGCTCAGGAGGCAGAGGTTGCAGTGAGCCAAGATCACGCCACTGCACTCCAGCCTGGGCACTAGAGCGAGACCGTATCTCGAGAAGTATTTAAATCTTTAAAATATGAAGGCAAAATGAAGACGTTCCCAAATAAATAAAAACGAAGAATTTTTTGCTAGCTGTTCTACCTTATAGAAACACTAAAGGATTTCCTTCAGGCTCAAGCATATGACCACCAATGATAGCTTGAAATCTGTATTTAAAAACATAGAGCACCAGTAAAGATAATTATGTAACTATAAAGTACATTATAAGTGCCTATTTTTCTTTCTTCTCTTACCTGATTTTAACAGCCATTACACAAAATAATATTATATAATGTACCATTGGACGGTTGATACATAGAAATGTAATGTATTTGCTAATAACAGCACAAAGGAGGAGGTGGGAGGAAAGTTGTGCTGCATTAAAGAAATAACTACTGATGGTAAAGTAATAATTATAACAATATATTCTCGGGGTTGTAACATTAACAGATATTATATAACACTAATATCACAAAAAAGGAGGAAAGGAAACAGAGGCATATAGGAATAATGATTCTACATCTCACTAGAACAAAGCTTGTATAAATTTGAAGCTGATTCTAATAAGTTAAAATGCATATAATAAACCCAAGGGCAGCCACTAAAAAAAAAAAACTCTCAAAAATATGTAGTGAAAAATAATCATTACACAAGTTTAAATGCTGCATTAGAAAATATTCACTTAATACTAAAGAAAACAGAAAAAGAATACAATAGAGAACAAAAAAAGACATGAGGGACAGAGAAAACGGAAAGTAAAATGGCAGGCATAAATCCAACTATATGAACAACTACATTAAGTGTAAATGGATTAACCGGAGGGGCATGGTGACTCACGCCTGTAATCCCAGCACTTGGGAGGCACAGGTGGGTGGATCACAAGGTCAGGAGTTCAAGACCAGCCTGGCCAAGATGGTGAAACCCTGTCTCTACTAAAAACTACAAAAAGAATTAGCCAGGCATGGTGGCAGGTACCTGTAAGCCCAGCTACTCGGGAGGCTGAGGCAGGAGAATTGCTTGAACCCTGGCAGCAGAGGTTGCAGTGAGTGGAGATCGCGCCACTACACTCCATCCTGGGTGACCGAGGAAGATTCTGTTTCAATAAATAAATAAATAAATAAATAAATAAATAAATGTAAATGGATTAACCAAGCCCATCAAAAGGTAGAGATTGTCAAACTGAATTTTTAAAAAATGATCTAAGTCTCCAGAAGATACAATTTAAATTTAAAAATACAAGTAGATTGAAAATAAAAAGATGAAAAATAATATATCATGTAAACAACCATAAGAAAGCTGGAGTGGCTATACCAGTATTAGATAAAACAGACTTTAAAAAAATAGGTAAATGTTTGACATATACAGAAAACTTTTGTCTCATATCTTAAATAGATATATATATCAAACTGTATATATTTTTAAAGTCTGTTTTGTTTGATATTAGTGTGGGATATGATGAGGTTTCTCTTCAAATAATCTGATCAATCTTTTATTTTTTAATTCGTAGTTACCCCCCCTCCATTCTTCTCCTTTTTTCCCCTTTTCCCTTCTTGCCTTTGTTAAATGCCCAGGCACGCCACACTACCAAGTGTTATCAGTACCAGCTCACATTCCTTTCCTTATTTGGAAAGAGGACTAACTTTATGGCTCATTACAGACACCCCTTCCCCTATTCTCTCCACTTTCCTTTACGTGCCCACCCTATCTAAAAAAAATACAATGTTTAGCCAACCAGGATTAGTTTAGATTGTACGACCCGACCCCGGCCAATGGGGAAAGGGTACAGGGGCAGGACTTGCATCAGGAATAAAGGCTCTCGTGCCCCTTTGTTCAGGTGTGCTCTCAGGACAACTGGCCAGGGAGGCACCCTCTGTGCAGAAGTAAAATTGCTTTGCTAAGAATCCTTTGTTCAAGTGTTCAATTTCCTTAGGATTTTGAGTGTTATTCCTAACATTAGTATAGCCACTCCAGTTTTCTTGTGGCTGTTTGGATATATATTATTTTTCATCTTTATATCTTATTTAGATATAAATATCATTATATAAAGATACTCTTTATCTCATATCTAAAGAGAGTCATTTTGTAATGATAGAAGGGTCAGTCTTTCAGGAAGAGGGTAACAATTATAAACATATTTGCACCTATTAACACAGTACCAAAATATATGAAGAAAAACTGACAGAAACAAAGAGAGAAATAGAAAATTCAAAAGCAATGATAGTTGAAGCCTTCAACACCCCACTTTCAATAATGGATAGAACAATTAGGTGGAAGATCAACAAGAAGAAGACTTTGAACACACATAAACCAACCACACCTAAGAGGTGTCTATGGAACACTACAGAATTTATACTCACTATAGAACACTCCACCCAACAACAGGAGAATATATATTCTCAAGCACACATGGTACATCCACCAGGAAAGACCAGACCACATACCAGATAATAAAACAAACCTCAAAAATTTTAAAAGAACAGAAATACAAACTATGTTCTCTGACCACAAAGGAATGAAGTTAGAAATCAGTAACATTAAAAAATTGGGGGCTGGAGCCGGGCGCGGTGGCTCACACCTGTAATCCCAGCACTTTGGGAGGATCACAAGGTCAGGAGATAGAGACCATCCTGGCTAACACGGTGAAACCCCATCTCTACTAAAAATACAAAACATTAGCCAGGCGTGGTAGCGGGCGCCTATAGTCCCAGCTTCTTGGGAGGCTGAGGCAGGAGAATGGCGTGAACCCGGGAGGCGGAGCTTGCAGTGAGCTGAGATGGAGCCACTGCACTCCAGCCTGACAGAGAGCGAGACTCCGTCTCAAAAAAAAAAAAAAAAAAAAATTGGGGGCCGGGTGTGGCAGCTCCCACCTGTAATCCCAGCACTCAGGGACGCAGGGGTGGGTGGCTAATGAGGTCAGGAGATCAAGACCATCCTGGCCAACATGGTGAAACCCCATCTCTACTAACAATACAAAAATTAGCCAGGCATGGTGGTGTGTGCCTGTAGTCCCAGCTACTCAGGAGGCTGGGGCAGGAGAATCGCTTGAACCTGTGAGGTGGGGGTTGCAGTGAGCCGAGATCATGCCACTGCACTCCAGCCTGGGCAACAGAGTGAGACTCTGTTCTCAAAAAAAAAAAAAAAAAACTGGGGCCGGCCTTGGTAGCATGTACCTGTAAGCTCAGTTACTTGAGAGGCTTAGGCAACAAGGATCCCTTTGAGGCCAGGAGTTAAGAGGCCACAGCATACTATTATAGCATCTGTGAACGGCCACTGCACTCAAGCCTGGGCAACATAGCGAGACCCCATCTCTTTTTTTGTTTGTTTTTGAAATGGAGTTTCGCTCTTGTTGCCCAGGCTGGAGTGTAATGGCGTGATCTCGGCTCACCACAACCTCCTCCTCCCAGGTTCAAGCGATTCTCCTGCCTCAGCCTCCCAAGTAGCTGGGATTACAGGCATGCGCCACCACCCCGGCTAATTTTGTATTTTAAGAAGAGACGGGGTTTCTCCACGTTGGTCAGGCTAGTCTTGAACTCCCAACCTCAGGTGATCCACCCACCTCGGCCTCCCAAAGTGCTGGCATTATAGGAGAGCCACCGCACCTGGCTGACCCCATCTCTTAAAAAAGAGAAGTTAAAACATTTTTGGGAAATTCAAAAATCTTTGGAAATTAAGTGATTCTTAAACAACTAATGTGTCAAAGAAGAAACCTAAAAGAAAATAAAAAATACGTTGAGACAAATGAAAATGAAGACATAACATACCAAAATTTAAGGGTGTTTAGAGAGAAAGATATAGCTATAAATGTCTAGAGAAGAAAGAACAAAAGATCTTAAATCAAAAACTTAACTTTGCAATTATAAATAACCCAATAACAGCCGAAACAATCCTGAAAAAGAAAAACAAAGTAGGAAGATTCACACTATCCCATTTCAAAACTTACTATATAAAACAAGTAATCAAGACAGTGTGGTACTGACACAAGAACAGACATACAGATCAATGGGATAGAATTGAGAATCCAGAAATAAAACCATGTGCTAATTTTCAACAAAAGGGCCAAGACCATCTAACGGGGAAAGAAGTATTTTCAACAAGTGGTGTGGAGATAAATGTGATAACTACACACAAAATAATGAATTTGAATCCTTAAGTCATACCCTATATAAAAATTAACTAAAAATGGCCAAAGACCTAAATGTAAAGGTTAAAATTACAAAATTCTTAGAAGAAAACACAGAGTAAATCTTCATAGCCTCATATCTGGGAAAGGATCCTTAGAAATGACTCCAAAAGCACAAGTAACAAGAAAAAAGAGAATTTAGACTTACTCAAAATTTAAAACATTTGCGCTTCAAAGGATACCACCAAGAAAGTGAAAAGACACAAGGGGCTTATATCAAGGACATATAAAGAATTCTTACAACTCGATAAAAAGACAAATAACAATTCAAAAGTGGGCAAAGGATCTAAAGAGTCATTTCTCCAAGGAACATATACAAATGGCCAATAAGCATGTTCAAAGACACTTGACATCATTAGTAATTAGGGAAATGCAAATCATAACCACGAAGAGATACTAGTTCACATCCATTAGGATGGCTATAATCAGAAAGTCAAAATAAGAAGTACTGGTAAGGATGTGGAGCGATGAAAATCCTCACATACCACAAGTGGGAGTGTAAAATAGTGCAGCCACTATGGAAAAAACTGTGGCAATTTATCAAGTGACTAAGCCCAGAATTACCTTATGACCGAGCAGTTCCACTCCTACATATACCCAAGAGAAATGAAAACATATGTCCACACAAAAACTTGTATACAAATGTTCATAGCAGCATTATTCATAACCAAACAGTAGAAAGAACTGAAATGTCCATCGAGTGAGGAATGGATAAATAAAACATGGTATAACCATACAATAGAATATTATTCAGCCATAAAAAGGAATGAAGTACTAACACATGCTACAACATGAATAAATCCTTGAAAACATTATGCAAAGTGAATGAAAGAAGCCTATTACAAAAGACGACATATTATAATATTCCATTCACATGAAATGTCCAGAATAGGGAAATCTAGAGACGGAAAGTAAATTAATGGTTACTCAAGGAATCCCTAAAGGAATAGGGGGTGACAGTTAAAGGGCATGGGATATCTTTTTGAGATGATAAAACTATTCTAAAATTGACTGTGGTAGTTGCACATGTCTGTGAATATACTAAAAGCCATGGAATTGTATACTTTAAATGGGGAATTACATGGTGTATGAATTATATCTCAATAGAGCTGTTTTAAGCTCTGGTCTCTAAAATACTTTCAAATCAAATACCCAAAACATTGCTGAGAGACACTAAAAGTTTAAAGATCAATTGCAGCAATGCCACTGACCAATAATCATATAAACTTCATTCCACCACCAATGTGTATACAACACATACACAGAATCCACTAGTTTTGTCTTTATGTTTCCTATAACTTATAATACTAAATTAGATTAATAAAAATTTTCAAGGAACATGTAAATGAAATACTAAAACCAACACATAAAATGAAAAAGAGGTAGTAACAATAGCTTATTAAGATGGCCACAGAGGGTTGGTTTTAAGAACAGTTCACCGAATTTTTAATACAATACAGTAAGATAATTTGTAGTTTTCCCCTGTAATGTGGTTTTGCTTGTACTGTTTCAAATGCATCTTCCCAGAAAATCTAGTCTCTATTCATTTCTCTCCTCAAGATTTCAAATACCAAGTAGAACACTGAAATCTTAATATACATACTCATTATCATAAAGCCTTCCTCTTCTTGCCCTTCTTCATTAAATCAGTGATAAACTAAACTTCTGAGGTGATAACCAAGTTATTTCAAGTTGTTCATTGTTAATCCTCTACATTTAAGGATAAATAATTTGAAGTAGCAGGAATCATTTCTAACAAATAATAATTTTATAACTATAATTTTCCTTAGAGGAAAACATCCCTAATTACTGCTGCTAACATACTTGAAATCTAAAGTAAGATCTCATATAGGATTCATGCTACAAATTATAGAACAAGCACTGTATCATAGCAACCCAGCAATACCACTACAGTGACACGCTGAGGATGCAATCCAAGATTCTAATTTAAGAAACTGGCACAGAATATAGGACATGTAGCTTTTTTTGGCAATACCCCTAGAACATTAATAACTAAAAATCTAAAATCAGCTTTTATTTGAAACTTTAGAGAGCAGGCTATTATAAAGTAACAATGGAAATGTTTATTAACAAATGATTCACAGCACTGTGACTAAATATGACTTATTAAGGTTCTGTGATTTCATTAAAATTGAAAATGGTGGGAAAAAATTGTAGACATCGTATTTCAGGAAATTAGAACACATACGCACTGCCAGTTTGATAATGTTCTAATATATAAATGTATGTATTATTTTAAGAAAACCCCTACAATACTAACTAAAACTTTCAAGAACTTAAATACATCCATGTTTTAATCAATTACCATTCAAATGTAAGTATATCCGCAACTACTGCTATTTTTTATTTCAAAAAATTAACTGGGCTGGGCATGGTGGATCACACCTGTAATCCCAGCACTTTGGGGGGGCCAAGGTGGGCAGATCACTTGAGGCCAGGAGTTCGAGACCAAGCTGGCCCACATGGCGAAACCCCGTCTCTACTAAAAATACAAAAATTAGCCAGGCGTGGTGGCTCGTACCTGTAATCCCAGCTACTCAGAAGACTGAGGTAGGAGAATTGCTTGAACCAGGAGGCAGAAGTTGCAGTGAGGAGATTGCACCACTGCACTCTAGCCTGGGTGACAGAGCAAGACCCTGTCTCAAACAAACAAAAACAAGGTGTTCAAGTCTCTAGAGCAGGACCTAAGCTCTACAGACATCCCACTTCCTTCTACCATCAGCATAAACGGGCTTTGGGATGGTGGTGGTGGGGAAATCCAAGAACCCTGGAAATTATATAAAATATTATATATATTTTTTAAAACGGCACATTCTTTAAATTGGATTTTCCAAGAGATTCACATATAATTTCCATGAAATTAAATATTAGTACTCTTAGAAATTATTTCCTTTCCATTAAACGTAAGAAACTTATAACCAAGGTTTCAAATGAGTTGATTCAGTATTTCCAGAAATAAAAACTTTATTCACAAACAATTCTAAATTGATTCTAATATTTTTTCATTCAGAAATTTGCTATTTGTAATATTCTATTAACAGAAAATAATAGGCTATTGAACAACATACACAGTATGATCCCACTCATGGGAAAATATGGGAAGATGCTCAAAAATTTAAAAGAGATTTCCTCTGGGTGGGAATTTTTACTTTCTACCATTGTTAAGATTCTCCTTTGAGTTGTTTTAACAGTGAGTCTGTAAGTTTTTACAAAAATAATAAATAAATAATAAAATGGGGTAGTTTAAAATATGACACTTCCCATTACATATTCTTTAAATGAGTTTATTTTAGAAAACCATGAAAACTGAGATTCGCTGATGACTCACAGCAAGTATTGTATTATAACCTAAAATAGTCATTCCTGTTCTATAGAAGTTACTTCTCCAGATCTTAAAAAAATTAGTTCTTAAAAATATATAGAGAGTATCCAGGTGATCCAAATTAAAAACAGATTATCAAAACAGATGAAGTACCAAAACCAGTGACTAGATATACGGCAGCTAGGTGAAGGCTGAGTTATTTTTACCTTTCCTATATGAATAATCAAAATTTTTTATGGGCCAGGTGCGGTGGCTCACACCTGTTAATCCCTGCACTTTAGGAGGCAGAGGCAGGCAGATCACTTGAGGTCAAGGGTTCAAGACCAGCATGGCCAACATGGCAAAACCCCGTTATCTACTAAAAATACAAAAATTAGCTGGCTGTGGTGGCGGGAGCCTATAATCCCAGCTACTCGGGAGGCTGAGGCAGAAGAACTGCTTGAACCCATGATGTGGAGGTTGCAGTGAGCAGAGATCATACCACTGTACTCCAGCCTGGGGGACAGAGCGAGACCCTGTCTCAAAAAAAAAAAAAAAAGTCTTATGAAGGCAATATGACTGGGGAAATAAATGCATCTTAAAAGCACTTCATTGTCATATTTGCTACTTTATGTTCACTCTGGATTCAAAATTAGGTTGGTTCATTCACTGGAAGCACAAAAGTATGTGGAAAACTATTTGAGGAGATGACATCTAACTCTCATTTCAGCTTGTCTGGAAGTTTTAGTGGAAGAATAAAATCAGTCAAGTGGTAGATTAGCCCAATTGACTTTTATATCCCAGTCTCTGTTATCCTGACCTAACTTTTTTCCTCTATCAAATTGAGAAAAAATGATCAGAAAGATAGTACTATGCTAATGTGGAAGAGTATTTTAAAAAGTTTTCAAAAACTTTGTGTAAAAGGGGACCAGAATATACCCAACATTTCCAAAAGAAGCAAAAACAAGTAGATTCTAATCAGTTCTTGATAATCTACAATTTCTTCAAGCTAATTACAGATCATTATAACTTTGAGGGGTGACTCCAAAATCTAACTGTGACACAAATGTGCTGAATGATTAACAATTCACTTCATCTTAGTGAGGAGCCCCTCCGTCTGGCAACCACCCCGTCTGGGAAGTGAGGAGCGTCTCCGCCCGGCAGCCACCCCGTCCGGGAGGGAGGTGGGGGGGGTCAGCCCCCAGCCCGGCCAGCCGCCCCGTCCGGGAGGTGAGGGGCTCCTCTGCCCGGCCGCCCCTACTGGGAAGTGAGGAGCCCCTCTGCCCGGCCAGCCGCCCCGTCCGGGAGGGAGGCGGGGGGGGGGGGTGTCGGCCAGCCGCCCCGGCCGGGAGGTGAGGGGCTCCTCTGCCCGGCCGCCCCTACTGGGAAGTGAGGAGCCCCTCTGCCCGGCCAGTCGCCCCGTCCAGGAGGGAGGTGGGGGGGTCAACCCCCCGCCCGGCCAGCCGCCCAGTCCGGGAGGGAGGTGGGGGGTCAGCCCCCCGCCTGGCCAGCCGCCCCGTCCGGGAGGTGAGGGGCGCCTCTGCCCGGCCGCCCCTACTGGGAAGTGAGGACCCCTCTGCCCGGCCAGCCGCCCCGTCCGGGAGGGAGGTGGGGGGGGGTCAGCACCCCGCCCGGCCAGCCGCCCCGTCCGGGAGGGAGGTGGGGGGATCAGCCCCCTGCCTGGCCAGCCGCCCCGTCCGGGAGGTGAGGGGCGCCTCTGCCCGGCCGCCCCTACTGGGAAGTGAGGACCCCTCTGCCCGGCCAGCCGCCCCGTCCGGGAGGGAGGTGGGGGGAACAGCCCCCCGCCCGGCCAGCCGCCCTATCCAGGAGGTGAGGGGCGCCTCTGCCCGGCCGCCCCTACTGGGAAGTGAGGAGCCCCTCTGCCTGGCCAGCCGCCCCGTCCGGGAGGGCGGTGGGGGGGTCAGCCCCCCGCCCGGCCAGCCGCCCCATCTGGGAGGTGAGGGGCACTTCTGCCGGGCCGCCCCTACTGGGAAGCGAGGAGCCCCTCTGCCCGGCCACGACCCCGTCTGGGAGGTGTGCCCAGCGGCTCATTGGGGATGGGCCATGATGACAATGGCGGTTTTGTGGAATAGAAAGGCGGGAAGGGTGGGGAAAAAATTGAGAAATCGGATGGTTGCTGGGTCTGTGTGGATAGAAGTAGACATGGGAGACTTTTCATTTTGTTCTGTACTAAGAAAAATTCTTCTGCCTTGGGATCCTGTTGATCTGTGGACCTTATCCCCAACCCTGTGCTCTCTGAGACATGTGCTGTGTCCACTCAGGGTTAGATGGATTAAGGGCGGTGCAAGATGTGCTTTGTTGAACAGATGCTTGAGGGCAGCATGCTCGTTGAGAGTCATCACCACTCCCTAATCTTAAGTACCCAGGGACACAAACGCTGCGGAAGGCCGCAGGGTCCTCTGCCTAGGAAAACCAGAGACCTTTGTTCACTTGTTTATCTGCTGACCTTCCCTCCACTATTGTCCTATGACCCTGCCAAATCCCCCTCTGCGAGAAACACCCAAGAATGATCAATAAAAATAAAAAAGAAAAAAAAAAAAAAACAATTCACTTCATCTTGTTTCTCAGTACTCATTCATAAAACAAATGCTCTCATATTTTTTTGAGAAAAACTTTAGGTTACCTAAAAATGAGAGGACAGTGTTTCAAAGAAGATCAATGAAGCATTTTTATATCAGAAGAATTTAAGAAACAAAGATCCCTTGCTTTAACAGGTCTTAGAAAAATCTACGTTCAATACTGGCTTACTTGCCCAGCACCTATAGCCTAAGACTATACTACAGTCTAAAGGTCTAAAGACTACAGGCTCTAGGCTTAGTCTTAGTCTTTAGTTAGATTAAAGACTATAGTCTAAAGACTTACTCATTCAGCTTCTACAATTTCCACTCACTTTTCACCTTATGCAAATCTCATTTCAAGTTATCAAAAAGAAACGTATTGGCTGGGCATGGTGGCTCACGACTGTAATCCCAGCATTTTAGGAGGCCGAAGCGGGTGGATCACGAGGTCAGGAGTTTAAGACCAGTCTGGCCAACACAGTGAAACCCTGTCTCTACTAAAAATAAAAAAAATAAAAAAAATTAGCCAGGTATGGTGGCAGCTACTCGGGAGGCTGAGGCAGGAGAATCACTTGGACCCAGGGGGCAGAGGTTGCAGTGAGCAGAGACTGTGCCATTACACTCCAGCCTGGGCGATAGAGTGAGACTCCGTCTCCAAAAAAAAAAAAAAAAAAAAAAAAAAAAAAAAAAAAAAAAAAGAAGAAGCAAAGAAAAAGAAAAGAAACGTATTTCTCTTGATAAGGTTCTCAATTATAAATATTTCTCTGTTGCACTGTAAGGAAATAAGGTACTCAACTTTGCTTCAGTCCAGGCAACAAACTGGACTTCCATTTAATAGAGGAATCAGCAACCAACTGAGAAGAGCAAGTCATACATGACCGGCATAAGAATGTAACCTACCTAGGTTTTGGTTTCTTCACCTATAAAATGCTAACCAGTTTAGTGTTGCAGGTAAACATTACTCAGTTATAAATCACCCTAAAATTGTAAATTATTGTATGATATAAATGATGTTTTTCTTTCAATCAATTTAATAGCTTTTGCTTCATTCTTTCATTCAATAAATATAAAACAGCATTGACTATCTAAATCCTGTGTAGGAAAATATGGTCTTGGGTCTCAAAGCACTTATAGTCTAAAGACAAAAAGCAGGCACTTTAACCTTATTCAGGCAACTTGTCCCGGCATATTTTGTGCTCTCCTTCATGCACATAACAATGACATCTTATCATGCAGTGTACACAGAAGATGTTCTATAGAGTAGGGAATAGATAATCCCAATTTGGCCAGGAGACTAAGTGGCCAGCAACCCAAACTATCAATGTCTTCTTATAAGCAAATCTGAAAGTCTTGGCAGGCCAGTAAAGGTTAATGTAAAGAATACAGTTAATGTTTAGAAGACATTAGTAAAGAATATAGTTAATGTATAGAAATTAACAAATGGGCACTCTTTGATTCACATATGCAGTGATCTATTTGATATTTATAACTGGGTTTCTAAATGGCATCTCAAATTTAAAATTTCCAAAATACAACTCTGGATTTTCCCTCTATACCTGATTCCCCCTCCAGTGTACTCCTTTCTCGGTGGTGGGACACATTCCTATCCACCCAGGTGTCCAAGCTAAAGCACGTGAGAGTCATCCTTGACTCCTACACCTCTGCCTTTCCATCTCCTCCCAAACAATTCATTAACAAGGTCCTATCTAAGATATATCTCAAATGCATCTTCTTCTCTCCATCTTGGGCTACTACCCAGGCCCAAGTCACATAAAGTCTTACCTGGCTTATTAATCTCCTAACTTGTCCTCCTAAAAATCTTCTTCTGCTACAATGCATTCTCTACCCAGTAGCTATAGTAATTTTTAACTGCCAAACTTTCTGAAAGAGTTGTCCATACTTACTCACTCAGCTTTTACAATTTCTACTCATTATCCACCTTACACAAATCTCATTTCACATTATCAGTCCTCCAAACGCCTCTCAAGTCACCAATGTTGCCTAAAGACTAACCCACGGAAACTTTTCAGTTCTTACTTGACTTGTCCACAGTTATCCACTGTTACTACTTTCCCCACCCATCCCCCAGTTTTTAAAGACTCTCTTCCCCTGACAGCCTTGTCTCCACTCTCTCCTGTCTTCTTTGGCCTCCACTCCAGCTGTCTCTCTTGGCTCTTGGTTGTACCTTTTTCCCTTACCCATTATCTCAATGTTGGTATTCCTTGGAGTCTTCTCATTCTATCCATTTTCAGTGGGC
Source organism: Homo sapiens (assembly GCF_000001405.40). Classification (NCBI taxonomy): domain Eukaryota; kingdom Metazoa; phylum Chordata; class Mammalia; order Primates; family Hominidae; genus Homo; species Homo sapiens. The sequence continues at coordinate 212,295,537 of NC_000001.11, read as the reverse complement.
AGTTGCTTCTACTTCCATTGCTCCAAATGCCACATGTAAGCCAAAGACTCTCAAATTATCTCTAGCACATTGCTCCATATCCAAATAATCCGCCTTCCTACTAGGCAGCTTCACTTCAATTTCCCATGGACACTTCGACCTGTCCAACAAAGAACCATTATCTTCTCCTCCCAAATCTAATGTCTTTTTTCCCTTTCAATAAACTGCTATCATACATCCAGTTGCCCAAGTTAGAAATGTATCATCGTTGATTGTTCCCTCTCACCAGATTTTGCCTATGATACCACCCCATCCCCACTTGGACAAGCACCTTTATCTCTTGTCTGGATTACTGTGTCAGTATCCTCACTAGTGTTACTCACTCTGATTTCCCAATACGTTCTTCATGTTACTGGCAGGTATGAATGCAATAAATTGCCTACATCCATTCTTCAACATAGCAACAAGATTACGCACTAGACCCTAAATGCTGTTCCACTTCTCTAGTGATACAGAATATACCACAGAGATATAGAATGTAACCTATATTCTAGATCACAGCTATGTAAACTGCTGGTAATTCCCAAAATATGCTATGCTCAATTACCTTTGGGTCTCCATATATTGTCTTTTGGGTGGACCTCTTAGCCCATCTATCTTGGCCTAACACCTTCTGGCCTTTTAGATGGCAGTTTACCTGTCACTTTCTCCAGGAAACTTTCCCTGATCACTCCCCTCCCCTACTAAAACGGGATTGAGTCCTTCACATACTCCCTTAACATTTTAGAGCTTATTCTTATCATGACACTGAACACATTAATTGCAACTGCCTGCTTACAAGTCTGTATTCACCAACTATAAACTCCTAAAGACATTAAATTTAAAAGAAAAAGCATTCATTGTTTTCACTTTACTAAGTTTTAATCTCTGCAGCGGTTCACCAAAATTTTATGCACTATGGAAAACCAAAGAAAGGAAAAGATTTCTGTACTAGATTTTTGAAAATAAAGTGTGTGTCTAATTTCACAGCAAACAAAATATTTTGCCACTGACCAATTTAAAGAAGAATGGTAGGGCACGTTTTTGTTGTTGTTTTTGTTTGTTTTAATAAAATTAGAAACATTCCTACAGAAGTTATGTCTTATTTTACTTTTAACTTCAATAGATATTTTTCTTCAGAAAAGCCTGTCTGAAAAGTTGTTTTAAAAATCTACCCAGTTTTGCTAATTAAAATTCAGGAGTTATAACAAAAACTGTCTCACCTTTTTCCCTTTTTCACTTTTATCAATTTAGAGGCAGGGGATTAACAATGAGTTCAAATAACCATTGACTTATGGTAATAGCTGTAATTATGGAATATCCTTGATACAATGTGAAACAAAGGCAAAACCAATTAGACAAAATATACAATTTTTTAAAATCTGCGTTCTGCTGAAAAAAAATATACAATTTTAGATTTGATACTACTGAACTGCAAGTTCTAAGCCATTTAAAAATTCTTGTTTCAGGTATTCAACCTCTTTTAGCTATTATCTAAATGGTTTATTCATTAACTAAGCAAAACCTGAGAGAATAAGGGTTTTAAAACCCTGTACTTTCCTCCCTACCTTAAAGAAAACTTCTCTGATGAAATGGCAAGATATTTATTAGAATAACAAGAGTGAAATCAATTCCCAACAGAGGCTAAACCAGAATGACTTCTGAGATCCCATTCAGCACTGGAAAGCTCAACTAGATATAACATCACAGTAAGGTTATATAGTAGCGGCAATTAGCATCACCATTCCAGTAGGAGGAGTGTGTTTCCAAGAAATCCCTTGTCTTCAGTATCCAAGTTAGACTACCCCCACCAAAAAAAAAAAAATTCCAGTATGTTTCTTCAGCAAACCCAATCAAAATTACAGGATTTCTAAAATTCTTCATTACTTACTTAAAAGTCCCACATAAATAAAATCCTTCAGGTAACAGTTCAAAAAGACAGATATAAAAACTAGGCTTGAAACTGCTTATTAGTCAACATCCTGCTCAGAGAAGTAGAGTTTATTTTGCATAATCCCAGTCTGTCATACAAAACTCTTTCAGCAAAGCATTTAGATTCCTTGTTACATAATAATACACTAAAAGTATTATATATTTCAAATCTGTTCCTTTTACCTCCTTCAAGGACATCCTTATAAAGAAAGATTGCATCTTAAACTTAGAAATTACTGCAAACAAATTGTTTCAGTTATTTTATACACACATGTCCATGTCTAGGAGTCAACCCAGTATTACTTTTCCTCACAAATCTTATACAATAACTTTCATAGCAACAAATCAATCAATAATGTTACATGTCACTCATACTGGTCATTGGCAAAATACAAATAATCTTTTGTTTTAAACCTACATTTACTATTTACTACCAAGATATTAAGGACCCAGAATTCATTTACTTTAAATCAAGCTTGTCCAACCCACCTTATTTTGTTGTTGTTGTTCTGTTTCGTTTTGTTTTAGGCTTTTAGCATCCTGAAGCCATGGTTTTTAGTTTCTGTCTCTAGTGATAAGCAGAAAAGAAGGACGAGGAAGGGGCTTTACTGGCACAACCAAAAACAGAAACTAAGAACCCATGATTGTATTCTCTCCCTTGGATTCCCCTGTTTTAAATAATCCTGAACCAGTTTTAGGCATAAATATATTAAAACCAAAAAACTGGGTGAGGCAGTGATTCACATCTGTAATCCCAGCTTTTGGGAAGCCAAAGACGGAGGATCACATGAGGCCAGGAGTTCAAGACCAGCCAGGACAACATAGCGAGAACTTGTCTGTACAAGAATAAAAATAAAAAACTTAGCTGGGTGTGGCAGCACACACCTGTAGTCCTAGCTACTTGGGACAATTGCCTGAGCCCAGAAGTTTGAGGCTGCAGTAAGTTACAATTGTGCCACTACACTCCAGCCTGGGTGATAGAGCAAGACCCTGTCTCAAAAAAATATGGAAAACCAAAAAACAAAACAGAAAAGAATCAACATCTGGTAGATAGCACCAAACATCACTAAAAGCAGCACAATCTAAAGGGGAAGGAGTGACTATAAGACAACCAACATATAATTTCTTCATCAAAACACTGACTCTGTCTCTATGACCACATTATGCACAAAATACTGTATTTGGTACCATAACAGGATTTGAAAAAACAGATAATGACTCTGCTTTCACAGAAAAATTCACCATCTCATTCTGGAGAGAGAGCATCACAACATAACAACTGAAAAGCCACCCAAACAACAAATCAACTAACAGAAGTATTATTCAAACCAGTTACCAGAAAAGACAAAGACAAAATAGGAATATGGAATATAAGCAGCCCTGAGTTCTCACTGCCCTGCCTTCGATAAAAAGTTGTGGTCAAGATTAAGTTAGATGATAGACACGAAAACACTCTGGAGAAAAACATTTCTTAATGTGAAATAAAAATAAGGCATGACCAAAAACGCAGTAAAGTTCAAGAATAGTTCCTTTGTTCAATATCTTGTATTTAACATATACAATGGTAGTATCAGGCCTAGATCTTCAAGAAACAGAACAGTGTTGTGAGCATACAGAGGAAACTAGTTTTACATCCCAAAGTGGTTGAAATCATTACTTATTATCCTGAATGATGGGATTAAAATTAGGCAAACCTCTATCACATGTTCTCGATTTTACCTGCCAGCTCCAAAAATCACAGAGAAAAGAAAACTGACCACCCTACATCAAATAATAGTTGGGCTTTAATTATGGTAATGACAATAAACCAGTAGAATCATCCCATCATACCTAAACTCCAGAATCTAATGGCAGTATCTCCCCTTCAGGAAAGCAGCTAATAAGCTATAGGGGGCAGCAAAGTTAAGAGAGTGAAATGTAAATAGCAGGAGGTGAAGCCAGGGCAGGAAATGTTAATAGGCTGGGTAATGAACCATGAGTATCAGAGAGAAAAGGACGAAGTCTCAATTAATGAATTAAATCAATAGACAGACAATGCTAACCCGGTGATTCTCAATCCTGGCTGCGCGTTAGAATCACCCTGGGAGCTTTTAAAAATACTGTAAGTGGATTTTACCTTAGGCCAATTAATTTACAATCTCTTAGGGATGTGCCCAGGTATTGATTTTTTGTTTTGTTTTGTTTTGTTTTAAACTCTCCAGGTATAGGCCGGGTGCAGTGGCTCACGCCTGTAATCCCATAACTTTGGGAGGCCAAGGCAGGCAGAACACCTGGGGTCAGGAGTTCAAAACCAGCCTGACCAGCCATGGCAAAACCCCTATCTCTCCTAAAAATACAAAAATTAGCTTGGCATGGTGGTGCATGCAAGAGAATCGCTTGAACCTGGGAGGCAGAGGTGGCAGTGAGCCGAGAGATCGTGCCACTGCACTCTAGCCTGGGGACACAGCGAGACTCAGTCTGAAAAAAAATAAAATAAAATAAAATAAATGACCTCTCCAAGTATAGCCAGGATTGGGAACCACAGTGCTAAACACATAAAAACAAACTAGTCTTTATCCCCAGCTTTTTACAAAAATCTAACTTTTAAAAATGAAACACAAAAATCTAAATGTGTTATTTCTGTTAGTAAACCTGTCTTTGAAATCCAAGGCAGCAATAACTCCTTAAAGACTAATTCATCTTTGTTATTTTATCAAGAGAAAAATGTTATTCTTGCAGGTGAAAATGGCTAAACTGAAGTTGAAAGGAATGAGTCATCACTGATGCAGGAAGACAATTTAAATCTACTGTTTACATGACAGTAACATACTACAATGGTTGCATTATTTTACCAAATACATTTTATTGGATTAGCACTTTATTCAGTTAGACACTTCATAAAATAATCCACAATTAACAATCAGATAAGGTAATAAAATGGAGAGGAGGAAGAGATGATCCTAAACAGGAATTCTAAAGATGTTAAAATGGGTTTAAATAGAAAAGTTTTTCCTTTATGTGAGGACTAGCAGTGAACACTTTATTTAGCAATTTCTCTTAAGAATATCCTAAAAATGTTTTAAATTTTTTAAAAATAAATCTTCCAGAAGAGATATCTCAGAAAATAGTCCTAAAATGACTAAAATGTTATTTCCTTTTGTAAACAATTTTCTTAACATCTTCAGATGAATTTGAACTCTCCTCTAGTGCCATCCCAACTGTGTTTAGATGGAATGATAGTAACTTTGAGAAGATCTATAAACCTTAAAAGTTGAGTGAGTAGTACGGTTTTCTCTCCACAAAAAGGTTTAGCTATAGAACTTAAGATAATGTCAGTGTTCTTGTTCCACAATTACCTTAGATCACCTACTTTAGAAAACACACACATTTTTCCCCCTAAAGGTAAGGAAGCACTGCAATCAACACCACTATTACTGGCCTCAATACCTCTAGTGGGACACAGTTGCTAAGAATGGACCAACAAAGAATCTTGAGTGCTACTTGGGAAAGTTTTACCTCTTCTGAAGGGGACTTCAATCTCAAAGCCAGTTTCAGCCTATCTTGCTATTTATTTCCCGGCTGTCTCCTAAGATGACTGCACATCTATATAATTCTACTGGTTAGGTTGATTTCTTCGCTTGGTAAAAAAATCTTATCACAGCTTTTAATGTTTTAAAGAGTCTGACTTAATCCTATTTCCATTTCTACACTCGTGCTGAAAGATGTTGCAGCTGCACTTCAGATCACATAAATCATATCTGAAAACTGATTATAAATAAAATCACTTTAAATACACTAGGAAAGTTTACCATTTAAGTAAGTAATCCTATTAATAATCCTTCATTTAAAAATATTTTTAATCTGGATTTTCAAATATTTAAGAGAATGGGAACTAACATTCTTTGCCTATTTTTAGGCACTTAAATTATTCCCCTTAATCCCCACAGGCCTGGGGAGATTTGTATTATCCCCATTTTACAGATAAGGAAAACGACTTAGAAAGATTAAAAATTTACCTTTGACCCAGGACTAACCCCAGAGACCCAACTCTATCACACTGCTTCAAATTTACATAAAACAGTTAACAGCACAAATACTGAAATCATTTGACCTAGGTCCCAGTGTCAGCTGCAACATCATCCAGATAAGTAATCACAGGCCAGAAACTATTCTTTTTAGGCCTCAACTTTCTCATCAATAAAATGGGAATACTGACCTTGCAAAAAGTTCAGGGATGACCCAATGAATAGGATGTTTGTAAAAATACAATGAGCCATGGATTATCAAACAACAGTATTACCCTTACTTACTAGGTGTGAAAAAGCAGGAGATACACAGGGATTAAGGGTTACATATCTTTGGATTGTTTCACTTGGTATGAACAATACTGTTTTATAATTTAAGAAAATTTTTAAGGTAAAATAATTTTAAAATGCTAAAATGTTATATAAATGTAAGGCATCAACTACTTTACCAAACCAAGCCTTCCAGAATCTTAAACAAAATAGGTTAGACTGAAAAGCCTTTTAACAAGGCTTGTTGTTTATTAAATACTTTCAATTATAAAACAATTTATTCTGAACATTTTTGCCATTAAAATCCCACAACCCACTTACTAAATTATTTTGCACAAATACTTCTTACAGGTGAAAAGGCTGGATTATTTTGTTAATCCTTACTATGGTTTGAGGAAAACTAGTTGGCACCTTTCCAGTTCAGATGCATGTGGTCAAAGTAACATAAGCAGGCTGGTATGAAACTTAAAAGATCTTGGAGTCCATGGATATCTGAATCACTCCACAGTAAGATGGTATTTCAGAGGAGGAAGAAAATTCTTTCTTTCATACACATACTAAAGGGCTTTCCATGTTTTTGTGAAGGCCACAAATGGAAAAAACTACCACTGGCAGAAAAAACACAACACTGTGGTATCAAGTACACTGCCAAAGTTCCAATTGAAGCAATTGAATGTTGGTGTTTTTTTTTTAAATCACTTGCAAGCATTTTGGCATCTGGAGTAAAAGAAGTTGTTCCTATTAGTTTGTAATCCAAGTAAGGGTCTTATTTCCTCAATTAAATTTGCATAAATTTATCCTGAATACATAATTTTCCTTATGATGAATACTGTATTTTCATGCAAATATCTACAATTAATGTAAAGTTCCAATTTACTTTCTTCTTTACTAGTGACCAAATACTATATGGCACCTTCAACTTGTTGAACCCTACATCATATAACTTAGATGATTACTGACTCTATGCATATTTTTCCAAGCTTTTAAAAGCAAAATGTGGCCAGGTGCGGTGGCTCACGCCTGTAATCCCACCACTTTGGGAGGCTGAGGTGGCCTGATCACCTGAGGTCAGGAGTTGGAGACCAGCCTCACCAACATGGTGAAACCCCATCTCTACTAAGAATACGAAATTAGCCGGCCATGGTGACACATGCCTGTAATCCCAGCTAGTTGGGAGGCTGAGGCAGAAGAATTGTTTGAACCCGGGAGGCGGAGGTTGCAGTGAGCTGAGATCGCGCCATTGCACTCCAGCCTGAGCAACGAAAGTGAAAAAATAAAATAAAATAAATAAAATAAAAGCAAAACCTATCAAAGCTGCATCTCCTGGCTTGAAACCAACCAAATGTTTAATATTCAATTACTTTTATTAAAGTATACTATTAAGAAGTACAATACTAAGAAACTAGAATATCTTACTAAAAAGCAAATTAAATAACTATGAAATAACCCTAGCACCAAACCTTCAAACTACAGTTTGACAATTTAATGGGAGAAAAAAAATCAGTAGTATAAAAAAACTATGATATTTTAAATAAGTGTAAATTTTAAAATCTATGAATAGCAAAGACGATATTCTTTTATAGCTATGACATCATTCAAGAATTAAAGTCTTGGCAATGCCTATCATTATAGTCTACCATTTTGCTATGTAAATTTTAACAATTTTTATATGCTAAAGAGCAATCAAATGATAAATTCGATAGCACAGACTAATATCTCAAAATCTCTGTTCAAAAGCCAGTTTGATTCTAACTGTGAGATGTCATGATTTAGAAGCACTCCAAGAGTCAGGGCAAGGTAGGGTCTCAATAGGGTTCTGGAGCTGTTGTAGGTCAACTGTGATTTGATCTGGGGTTTTCTTTAGACTCCTTGCCAAACTAAGGCTGGATTCACAGGCCCAAAGACAAATGAGAACCAGACTGGCCTTGAAGGGGATGCTGCAGCTTTTTCAAATGAATTGAAAAATCTGAACATCAGATGATAGGGATTTCCGTCAGGTTGCAAATTTTATCTAAATATGTAGGAGCATTATCATCTTGTTCCAACATTTCTATCTCATAAAAAGCAAGGACATTAAAATTATAAAATTAAGCATGAGTAATACACAAAGAATAAACTAGAACACCAGGAAATAACATCGAAAATCCTCTAAACCTAGTGGGAAAAGTGAGCCAAAAAGAGTGCCAAGTTCTCCTGCAAGGCATTAGGCACGGATACCAATTTGAATTCCTGTACAAACCTACAAAGTCCCTGGAATCACTGCCTGGCAAACTAAGTTCCCATTCGACTGCAAAGCAACACTACCTACTCCTTCGTATTTCCAAATAGACCATGTGTATCGGCTCAGACAACAGAATATTTTAAATCTATTCCTTGAGCTAAAGGATACCATTTAAAGCTAACGATCCTGTGAATAAGATACTACACTGGTCAAATTTTAGGCTTTTTCTTTATAAATACATCCAAAGGCCAGCTAACTCTTAACCGTTGTTTGCATTCGGATTCCTGGTCTGATGACTCTTAGGGGCAATCAATGGGAAGTGAAGTTGAGAAGAAGGTGGGTGCAGACGGCTTTATAACTGTAAAAGTAAAGGACTAGCTAAAAGTGGCCGAACAGAGGAGCTGACACTCGGGAAAGTGAAGGTCGGGGAAGGTTCGTGCGGTTGTTAAAGCAAGACCGGGAAAGGGCAAACCTGGAAGAGGAGTGAAGGACTCTACTTCACGGGACGCAAGATAGGAAGTGCAGGTTAAGCAAGCGCGCAGGTGGGGAAGGGTGTTGGCCTCCCCTAGGATGGAAAGAGTTCAGGTGGGAATTAGAAGGAAACAGCCAAGACTTCACAGAAAACCTGTTTGAATAAGGAGGAGGGCGTGAGGTGACGCCAAGGCATTGTGGGGAACTCGGCTCACACACTACCAGTCCCAACTGAGCAGGAGAAACCCAGCAGGAAATGGCTCTGCTGGCGCAGAGGCAAGCGTTGCCAGCCCCTGCGCTCGCTGCTGGGGCTGCGCCCTCGGAGGTTACCTTTGAGCTGGGGCAGCGGGTGCAGCTCTGCCTGGCTGCCCTGGCTGCGAAACTGCGACGAGCCCTGGGAGCGCTTCTGCCTCTGCGCCTTGCGGACCGATTTCCGGGTGAAGCCGTCCACTTTCTCCGAGGCCGAGATGGCGGCGCTGGCAGCCCCCGCCGGCGGCGACGACGACGACATCTCCGCGGCCCTGACGCTTGGCAGCTCCGGCTGCTGCTTGCAAGGCACGGGCAGCGGCGGAGACGGCAGGAGGAGGCGGGGGAGAGGCGCGGGGTGCTCGCGCCCCTGCGCCCCGGCCCCACGGCCCTCCGGCCCCGGGACGCCGCCGAGCTTCTCCTCGCCGCCCGCCAACGCCTCACGGCCACATCTCAGCGCTGGAGGTTCCTGGTCCCCGGCGCGCGGCGAGCTCCCGGGGCTGACGGAGGGAAGGGCGGGGGCGGAGGGGGGTGAAGAAGTTGTTGACTCTGGGCGCGCAGAGCGGGTGGAAGAGAGCCCGAAGTTTAGACAACTGAGGCGGGGGCACGGGGGTGCGGGTGCCGAGCGCGCCTCTCGTCGCTTCTGCCCCCGTCGCCAGCCAGCCGGCCGGCCAGCACCTCAGCGGCCGCTGCCAGCGCAGCCCGCCCTGCCTGGAGCCTCCTCTCAGGGCGCTGCCATCGCGGGTCCCCTCGGAGCCACTGCCGCGGTGCCCGCTCTTCCCGGTCAACGCCGGCCCCTCATCGCCCGGGGCGCTGCCCCGTAGCCCCGGCCCTCTGCGTGCACACACTCGCTCCTTGCCGCGCTGGGCGGCCCGAACCCCCTCCCCCACGCGCCCGTCGGCCGCCCACGGAGAACCCCAGGCGAGCGACCGCTACAACTTGAGAAGGTGGTTGGTACAGGCGACTGGGGAGTGTGTGCGCGTGTGCGCGCGCCAGGGCGCGCGGCCCGGGGAGGGGCCTCGCAAGGGGTGGGAAGGAGGAGTTTGACTGACAACTTCCGCGGGGTCCCGCCCGCCTCTTGGTGCGGCGGCGGGGGAGGGGGCGGGAAAGCATGCCAGCCCTCTTAGCCAATCACACGGCTAAGCGGCAGCGACGGCGTGAGGTGCGGCCTCTTGAGGCAGAGGAGTGGGGCGGGCTGTGTGACGGGCTTCGGCCACAGCCAATCGTAAGTGAAGACGGCGAGCGGGGTGCCCCTGCGTCAGAACAAATGCGGCAAATCGCTTGGGAGGGAGGGGAAGCGCTCCTCCACCAGCGGGCATTTTTGCGCTCACGCGCGACTGCTCCAGGCTGTCATTGCTCTCCTGACCGTCTACGAGAAGACTGGGAAACTTGAGAGGGTGCGTTCAGAGAGCAAAATAGAGCGCCCCTTCCCTTCCCTCACCTCTCTGCTGGCCAATGAAGAACTGAAGCGATTGGTGGGGCGCCGGAGGGCTGGGGCGCGAAAGAGCGCCAGGTGTTACACCACTGAAAGGGGGCGCAGCAGAGGTCAGGTGGCGAGCAAGCAGTGTGATTGACGGGCGAGGGGCCCGGGGAAGGCGAGAAGGTGAGCTCGTCCAATCGTTGCGAGGTCTGGACACCTGGGCGGGTCTTGGCGCCTTACTGGCCCCAAACCGCAAAATTGGTAGTTGCGGAATAAATTTGTAGCTCTTGGGAGGTTCGGACTCCGCAACTCCAGAGAGCTACTCTCGCGTGGGGTTTGGGCAGTCTAGCATCTGCTGCTTCAAAGAGTTCTGCAAGTCCACGCCCTCTAAAAAGAGATTTCTCATTCCCAATTTAGTATCCTGCTAATTTTCACCCCTCCTTGAGCCAAAGGCCCTCAACTACTCCAACGAGAAGAGTACAAATTCATTGGTCAGTGGTGTGTGGATATGGAGGCTTGCCATGTACTCTTACCGGAATCTCTTTCTTGGAGATTCCGTCTAGATTTTGAATTTCTTAAGGACGAGGACTGGTCATCTTAGTTTTTCGTGCAGTGCTTTCCATACGGTGGCCGTTAATAATTATTAATCTGAACAGTCAGCCTCCCTTTGCGCCAATGGACCCAAATCTGTAATCCCCTCCCTCGAGCTCCAGACCTTTTCCTTTCAACATAATAAAAGTAATTGTCGTATATTTAAACGAAGCCACCTGATGCATATGTACAGAAGATTCCAAATTTGGCAGGAAGTTGAATTCTAGACCTAGAACCAAACATACTATCCTCAAAACATTTCCTCCTTCAGATTTGCTGGGCGGTGAAATTGTACATAATCCTCCCAGTCAAGGAGGTTCAAACCTCAGCAGCGTTTCTGACACTTTTCGCTTTCTCACATAGTCAAGCTCCAGATCATGTTAAATCTACTTTCACAATTGGCGTTTCTCCCAATGTGTACAAAGACCGCCAAACGTAGTTCACGGCTTTCAAACTCACTGCCACATCAATCTTTTAAGATCACTTTTATCTTACCTGCGTGTTTGAGGAACCACCCAATACCTGCAGAATAGAGTCCAAATTCAAGACTCTCTGCGATCTGACTCCTGTCTTTCCAAGTGTAAATTCCTACATGTGCCCACAAAAACTCTTTTTAGTTCAGGCACATCATTCCACATACTGATCCCCTAAAAGAAGTTATGCATCCTCAACACTTAGTCTTTGCTGTTCCAACATCTTGAAATAATCCACTTTTTTTTTTCTTTTTTGAGACGGAGTCTTGCTCTGTCACCCAGGCTGGAGTGCAATGGTGGCACAATCTCGGCTCACTGCATGCTCCGCCTCCCGGGTTCAAGCGATTCTCCTGCCTCAGCCTCCCGAGTAGCTGGGATTACAGGCACCTGCCACCACGCCCGGCTAATTTTTTGTATTTTTAGTAGCGACGGGGTTTCACCATGTTGCCCAGGCTTGTCTCGAACTCCTGACCTCGTGATTCGGCCACCTCCGCCTCCCAAAGCGCTGGGATTACAGGCGTGAGCCACCGCGCCCGGCCCATTTTTTTTTCATCTTTTTGAAATTTCTTTTCTTCAAACCCCCTATCTTTTATGAAGCTTGACAATCCAGCCAGAAGTGATGCCTCCCTTCTTTGTATTCCTATTGCATTTAGTGTCCACACCACTCACAGCTGAAAGTTTGTCAACACCAAGAGAGCAAGAACTCAGTTATTTTATTTTACACCTCTGTTTCCCCTACTGAGCAGAGGATAACAATCACATTTTTAGTTCTCAACAGCAGAATTTCTGAAAGCGTGGTTACTGGATCACCTGCATCAGCATCCTCTGGGGTGCTTATTGAAAATGCAGATTCCTGGACCTCCCCCGCCTCCCCCCAACAGAACTAGAACCTATGGGAAGAGCACTGAGAAGTCTATTTTTAATAACTTCCCTAGGTTATTCTTATGTACACAAAAGTTTGGAACTACTATTCTCTAGTCATCTAGAAGTTATTAAAAACAGAATGTAAATGTCTGTAAGTCAGGAGTAGTACTATTTATAATAATTTACATAAAATAAGAAAGGGAGACAAATAGCAGAAAGAAAATCAGTACAGGCCGGGCGCAGTGGCTCACGTCTGTAATCCCAGCACTTTGGGAGGCCGAGGTGGGTGATCACGAGGTCAGGAGTTTGAGACCAGCCTGGCCAACATGGTGAAACCCTGTCTCTACTAAAAATAAAAAATTAGCCAGGTGTGGTGGTACGAGCCTGTAGTCCCAGCTACTCAGGAGGCTGAGGCAGAAGAATCGCTTGAACCCGGGAGGCGGAGGTTGCAGTGAGCCAAGATTGCGCCACTGCACTCCAGCCTGGGTGACAGAGTGAGACTCCGTTTCAAAAAAGAAAAAAAAAAAAAGAAAAGAAAAAAATAAATACAATAAAGCAAATTCTGTAAGTCAATACAATAAATCATATTCCATGTTCATACTGGAATGTGATAAATAATAGATACTGGATATAATAGAAAATACTGGAAACAAGTTTTTGGGAGTCTTGGAACCAGCAAAAACCATCTGGGCTTTGGTGAAACAGCCTCTTGGGGAAGAATTTTGAGCATAATTTTAAAGATCAAGTCAAAACCTGAAAAGAGAGGATGGCATTCCAGATCAAGTCACTAAGCATTTTCCAGGGGGAAGAACAAAAGCCCAAGAATCAAAATGCCTGACTCTGTGCTACTTATCAATAGAATGATTCTGTCCAGTCACTTTTTCCACATGTGTACATCAGAAAAAAAAAATGACAACCTTCTTCACAGGGCTGGCATGAGTTTTAAATATGACCCAAGAAAAAACACTCAGGGAAATAAAAATTATGTAGATGAAAATATTATGCATACATGTATATCAAACGTTTATTTTCCGTCCACTATTTTGAGTAAATAAGGTATCTGGGTCCTAGACAGAGATTTGGTCACTAAGAATCATCTAATAGGAAACTGCAATGACAGTACTAATCTATATGTGCCCCTGAAGCAGGAAGAGTGTCTTTGATTCCATGCCATAGAATTTCTGATCCTTCCCATATGTGAAGCTCCTTGGTCAAGAGCAATTTAGAGGCCAGGATTGCATCACTAACAAATTCCTTGGATGGTTTGTGCTTACATTACTTAACTTCCTTAGTTTATAAACGTATATACACTTACTGACCTTATCCTTTTGTTGAGAAAAATGATGCGAGAAAAAGTAATATCCACAACATCAAAATAATGGTTGTGTAATGGTTTTAAAGAGCACATCACAGAGAGTGTTCTTTTCAAATCACTGTGAAATTCTCTAAAGCATATCCAAGCAAAGTTTTGACTGTCAACATTCTCTTTCCTTAAGAGTCATGATTCCCAAACTGCTCCAATAGAACACCAGACCAAGGTGCCGGATCTACAGAATCAAAGAGTGGTAGTATTTTCCAAATTTACACAAAACTTCTCTCATGATCAGGCACAGTGGCTCATGCCTGTAATCCCAGCACTTTGGGAGGCCAAGGCCGGAGGATCACTTGAGCCCAGGAATTCAAGACCAGCCTGGGCAATGTGGCAAAACCCCATCTCTACTAAAAATACAGAAAATTAGGTGGCGGTGGGGGTGTGCACTTGTAGTCCCAGTGACTCAGGAGGCTCAGGTGGGAGAATCACCTGATGCCAGGAAGTCGAGGCTGCAGTGAGCACTGATGGTGCCACTGCACTCTAGCCTGGGAGAAAGAGTGACACTTTATCTCAAAAAATAAAAATAAAAAATATCTCATATCTTTTAAAAATGTTTGCATCTTACTACCACTTTACTAGAATCTAAATCAAGATAGTATCTGACTTATAAAAATACACTAATTTTTAGTGCCTCATTTCTATTTATTTAAATACATTCTCATTATTTAAAATTCAGAAGGAGTAAAAGGGCAACAGGAAACGTCTCACTCCCACCCCTGCTTCCCAACATCTGGTTCCCCGCTTTGGGGACAACCACTGCTATCAGTTTCTTATATATGTTTCCAGAGATATAATGTGTTTAATTGCTTAAGGCTTAGCAAAGTCACACTTCAAGAAGCTGCAGGAGAGAGCACCAAATCCTAACTGCTATTCCAGCAAGGAAATTAATATTGTTAAAATGTTCATCCAAAGCAATATATAGATTTATCCAAAGCAATATATAGATTTAACCCAGTCCCTATCAAAATTCCAGTGGCATTCTTTACAGAAATAGAAAAAACAATAAAATTCATTTGCAACCACAAAAATTCCCAAATAGCCAAAGCAATACTGAAAAACGAAAAGTTAGAGGTATCATACTTCCTGATTTAAAAGTATATTACAAAGCTATAGTAATCAAAACAGAATAGTTCTGGCATAAAAACAGACACATAAACCAGTGGAACAGAATAGAGAGCCCAGAGATAAATTCAACCGTATATGATAGTCTCTTCAATAAAGATGCTAGGAAAACCATACATCCACATGAAAACAATGAAATTGGACCTTTATACCATACACTAAAATCATCTTAAAATCAACATAGGGAAAATGCTCCTTGACATTGGCCTTGGCAATGATTTTTGTTTTTATATTATATCAAAAAGGGTACAAAAGCAAAAAAACTAAATGGGACACATCAAACCAAAAAGCTTCTGCATGGCAAAGGGAACAATCAACAAAATGAAAAGGTAACCTATGGAATGGAAAAAAAATTTGCAAACCACATATCTGGTAAGGGGTTAGTATCCAAAATTTATAAAGGACTCTTACAACTCAATAGCAGAAAAATAAATAACCTAAAAAAAAAATTTTTTTTTAATTGACAAGGCTGGGCACAGTGGCTCACATCTGTAATCCCAGCACTTTGGGAGGCCAAGGCAAGCAGATCACTTGAGGCCAGGAGTTTGAGACCAGCCTAGCCAACGTGGCAAAACCCCATCTCTACTAAATATGCAAAAGTTAGTTGGGCGTGGTGGTGCACACCTGTAGTCTCAGCTACTTGGGAGGCTGAGACACGAGAATCACTTGAACCCAGGAGGCAGAGGTTGCAGTGAGCCGAGATAGTGCCACTGCACTCCAACCTGGATGACAGAGGGAGACTCTGTCTCAAAAACAAATAAATAAATAAAATAAAAATGGACAAAAGACCTGAACAGACATTTCTCTAAAGAAGACATAAAAATGGTCAACAGGTGCTGGGCACGGTGGCTTATGCCTGTAATCCCAGCACTTTGGGAGGCTGAGGTGGGTGGATCACCTGAGTTCAGGAGTTCGAGAGCAGCCTGGCCAACATGGTGAAACCCCGTCTCTACTAAAAAAAAATACAAAAAATTAGCCAGGCATTATGGTGGGTCCCTGTAATCCCAGCTACTTGGGAGGCTGAGGCAGGAGAATCGCTTGAACCCGGGAGGCGGAGGTTGCAGTAAGCCAAGATTGCACCATTGCACTCCAGCCTAAGCAACAAGAGTGAAACTCTGTCTCAAAAAAAAAAAAAAAAGGTCAACAGGTATATGAAAATGTACTTGATATCACTATCATCAGGGAAATGCAAATTAAAACCACTAGGAGATATCAGTTCACATCCATAAGGATAGCTATTACCAAAAAGACAATAGGCAACAAATGTTGGCGAGGGTGTAGAGAAAAGGGAACCCTAGTACACAATTGGTGGGAATGTAGATTGGTACAATTATTATGAAAAACAGCATGGAGTTCCTGAAGAAATTCAAAATAGAACTACCTCATGACCCAGCAATCCTTCTAGTGGATGTATATCCAAAGAATATGAAATACCACTGGTAAAGATATGTGCATTCCCAATGTTAAGTGCAGCATTATGCACAATAGGGAATACATGGAAACAACCTAAATGTCCATCAATAGACGAAAATATAAAGAAAATGGTATGTACGTGTGTGTGTATAATGGGATATTATTTATATATATAATATATATATACACATGCATTATATGCATTATACAGACACATTTTATATATATAATATATATATAATGGAATGTTATTCAGCCCTCTAAGAGGAGATCCTGCTATTTGCCACAACATGGATGGACCTAGAGGACATTATGCTAAATGAAATAAGCCAGATACAGAAAAATATTGCATGATCTCATTTATGTGTAGATTTTAAAAAAAAAAAAAAGGAGTTCAAATACACAGAGAATGAAACAGTGGGATGCAGTGAGGAAGAGGAAACAGGGAGGTGTAGGTCAAAGGATACAAAACAGCATGTATGTAAGATGAATAAGTTTAGAGATCTAATGTAGGAGGAAAGTTAATAAAAATTGTATTATATTAGGCGTTTTTTGTTAAATAAGTAGATCATAGCTGCTCTTGTCACAAAAAGGTAACTAAGTAAGAGGGTAGATCTATTAATCTGCTTTACTAGAGTAACCATTTTACTATCTACTTTTCTAGATCTTTTTAAAGAATTCTAATTCCATATTGTCTATCTGGCCATTTTGCAAGCACAAGAACATACTGATATGATTAGACATCATGATTTTCAATTGCTGCCATTTTTGCTTTTTAACTTTAAACTTCTTTTAGTTAAGCTTATTATGATTCACCTCATTTGTTGTGGGCTATTGTACAGGCTATTGTGTTGGTCAACCAGGAGCTTAGACTAGGCC
Organism: Homo sapiens; assembly: GCF_000001405.40. Taxonomy (NCBI): domain Eukaryota; kingdom Metazoa; phylum Chordata; class Mammalia; order Primates; family Hominidae; genus Homo; species Homo sapiens. Next base: position 212,278,241 of record NC_000001.11, on the reverse strand, counting down.
AGTGGCAGTAGAGATGGCTAGACTGGAGATTTATTTTGGACGAGGAGTATATAGGATTTGCAGATAGACTGAATGTGGGCTGTTGATACAGCAGAGGTATTATTAATCCCCGAAAACCTGCTCCTGTATTTATACTTTCTGATTATCACTGAATCATCTTTCCATAACTATGAAATCTTTTGCCCCATCTAAATGGGCTGTAATCATAAATGTTCAATAGCCCCTTGTCTACCCATTTCTTTACCTGTATAGATGAGGAACCAGGACATAGTTTGAAGGGGCTCAACTCATGCCAATATACCCTTGCCCTTGCAGAGTGGGACGAAAGAACCTGATGTTAGCAAACTCTCCACACTTTAATTCAACCCTGCAAACACTTTCCAAGTGCCTTCTGTTTGTCAGGCAATATGCCAGTCACTAGGAATGAAGAGGTAGATAAGGATGGGCCTTAAAATCAATCTAGTGAGGAGGGACAACATAAACAAATGAACAAACAATTATCAGAAATATTTTTTATGGTGTGGCAAAACAGTGAAATATAGGATCTAATTTGGTTTGGAAAGAAAGAGAAAATTTAACAGAAAAAGTAATGTTTGAAACCAGTCTTGAAACAAAACAAAGGCCAGGCATAGTGGCTCTTACCTGTAATCCCAGCACTTTGGGAGGCCAAGGCATGCAGATCACCTGAGGTCAGGAGTTCGAGACCAGCCTGACCAACATGGTAAAACCCGTCTCTGCTAAAAATATAAAAATTATCCGGGCGTGGTGGCATGTGCCTGTAATCCCAGCTACTTGGGAGGCTGAGACAGGAGAATCGCTTGAACCCGGGAGGCGGAGGTTGCAGTGAGCCGAGATCACGCCATTGCACTTCAGCCTGGGCAACAAGAGCAAAACTCCATCTCAAAAAAAAAAAAAAGAAAAGAAAAGAAACAAAACAAAATTATCATATGGAGAAGACCAAAAAAAGAAGAAAAATGCCTGCCATTCAGAAATTAGCTTACCACATTTCTCCATCACTATGAAGATTTCTGTATCTCAATGAATTTACTTATTCCACACAACTATTACCAAAAAGTAAAATTTCATTGCAAGAGGAGAATATATTATGCCACACCTTGTATCAGAATTTGACCTGGAAGTGGATGAGCAAAGAAAAAGTAGAGATTAACTTCAACACATAACTGTCCTCTGGGTATATCATAAAAAGCAATGATTGCAAAAGTACTATATGGTTCCTTCATGTTCCTCTACTATGCATATTTTATGTAAATATATAAGTGGTCTTCTGCTTTCATCCATCTGAAGACAAAAAAAAAAAGGAAATCATTCCAAGCAGTAGGAATATAACTTATAAGGTGCAGAACCCTGAGAGAAGGGGCTACATCTGGAAACCAAAGGAATTTGGTATAAGCTTTCTTCGGTGGGCAGAAGCTGCATCTATTGAGGAGGGCAGAGTGGGTCATGAAGGGCTTTGTGTGCAGTTATTGGGTTTCATCCTCAAGTCAGTGGGGAGACACTGAAGGATTTTAATAAGCAGGAGAGTGGCATGATCAGATTTGCATTCTAGAAAAATTACATTGTTGGCAGTATGGAGGATGAACTGATTACAGAGGGCAAGGCCAGAGAAAGGGAGACCTGTGGGCCAGAAGACAAATAGTAAGACTCTGTGTCAGCATCAAGTAGGTTTTGAGGCAGTCCCTGTCTTAAAATACCTAGCTGCTGAATGTCAGCAATGTATTCTCTCTCATTGGCTTACTATTTTGGATCAAATTACTTTGAAAATCCTACAAACTCACTGTTATCTTCTATGTAAGGTGTTGTCTACAATTTGATAATACTGGTAGTACTAAGAGTTTTTCAGGAATTATTAAATTGGAAATTAATGTTTTCAGACCCTATGCTTTGACTTCTATGCAAACAATATGGCTTTTTCAAAAATTTGTGTGTCTGTAGGTAAGTGTAAATATAATCTTGGCTAGGTGCAGTGTCTCACATCTGTGATCCCAGCACTTTGGGAGGCCAAGGTGGGTGGATCACCTGAGGTCAGGAGTTTGAGACCAGCCTCGGCAACATAGTGAAACCCCACCTCTACTAAAAATACAAAAATTAGCTGGGCGTGGTGGTGGGCACCTGTAGTCCCAGCTACTTGGGAGGCTGAGGCAGGAGAATCACTTGAACCCAGGAGGCGGAGGTTGCAGTGAGCTGAGATCGCACCACTGTACTCCAGCCTGGGGGACAGAGCGAGACTCTGTCTCAAAATAAAACAAACATATCATCTCTACCATAAATTTAACACCTACTATATGCTAGGCACCATTCATATAAAGAATCTGGCAGAAAGAGATCAAATGAGATCCCCCCTTAAAGTCTCTTTCATCTATGTGACACTCCTGTCTTTTCCCTTGGGAGTTTGGTCTTGGTGACTTCTTCCATTTTCAGGAGCAATTTTTTGTATTCTAGCATCTCTGGAGTTCTCCATTCTTATAAAAATCAGTGGAAATTCAAGGCTCTGTTTATTAACTCTGTATAAAAACATTTACAAAAAAATGAAATTAGAATGGATTAGCATAAGATCATTGTTCTTGCCTAGCACTTTAAAAATTTTGTGTTTATGGAACTTTGGAGCCTACTACCTAGAAGGAAAATGAGATTATCAAGAGATGTAATGGTGCTTAATGTTTTCTTTTCATTCACTCAAAAATCATTAATTAACTTCTTATAATGAGCCTGGCCTGTTCCAGGTGC